>NC_000007.14:121597688-121900718 GCF_000001405.40 Homo sapiens
TTTAGTGGAGACGGGGTTTCACCATGTTGGCCAGGCTGGTCTCGAACTCCTGACCTTAGGTGATCCATGCATCTCGGCCTCCCCAAGTGAGAATAACGTATCTTTAACAAGAGATATGAATGATTTATGACTTGGTAAAGTCAGTAGCTTCTCCAAAGTTCACTAGTAGCCCTTAAAACAAAGAGACTTGAAGGCTCAGTACTTCTCAAGTTTCCCAATAAACTACAGCCCTGAAGTGGCTCACAACAAATATGATATTGGTTGAGGCCTCGTGTTTTACCTCAATAATTTGTGCAAATTTTGTATCTCATTTACTTATAATATTTTAAGGTTTGCTTTAACACAAAAATAAGGCTTTAAACTATTAAATATAAAGTAAATCCACCATTTTTTTGGTCTTAGAGAGCTCTCTGGCACACTACCACCTAAAACAATTTGAATAGCATGGCATGAGATACATGCTAGGTTACTATAGAAAATGATATAAAACCACATTCTACACCTACTCTCCTTAAAGTTACTCACTTTCAATTGCATAAGCAATACATGAATATATACTTATTGTGCAAACTCATAGTATAGGAATATATAAAGTTAGTTGCTCTTTACTTCATTCTTTTTCCCAGAGATAATCACTGTAAACAATTTGATGAATATCTTTTCATATATTTTAAATTAATTATATACATATACATCATTTATTTTCTAGTGTAAATAGTGATTGAACACTACTTGCTAATATGAATCATTTTCATACTAAAAATCTTTTTGAAAGAACAGTCTGTTGTGATAAAGTGTCTTTCTAAAATCTAGACTGATTTAGTTTGTTTTGGTTTTTCATTACATTTATGACTGACAATCTTTTTTTTTTTTTGAGACATAGTCTTGCTGCGACACCCAGGCTGGAGTGCAAGGGCGGGATCTTGGCTCACTGCAACCTCCGCCTCCTGGGTTCAAGCGATTCTCCTGCCTCAGCCTCCCGAGTAGCTGGGATTACAGGCACATGCCATCGTACCCAGCTAATTTTTGTATTTTTAGTAGAGACAGGGTTTCACCATGTTGGCCAGGCTAGTCTGGAACTCCTGACCTCAGGTGATCTGCCCACCTCGGCTTCCCAAAGTACTGAGATTACAGGTATGAGCCACCACACCTGGCCATGACTGACAATTTCTATTCAGCAGTAACAGGCAGATGAATTTAAGGAACAGGTAAATATTAATGCTGGTAGAATATGTATGCTAATTTCTATGTATGCTGTGGTAAATTAAAAAATATAAATACTATCATATTTCTGATTTGACATTATAATGAGAAATTCAAGTGAATCTTTTCAAAATTAGCTGTTAATTGCCTTTGTATTCCCCTTGCTCATGGTAATAACAAATTCATTATTCCAGAGACAGCGAAGATTGTGGGGTCAGAATTTGAACATCTGCTTTAAAATGTCTGTGAAATTCTGTTCCAAGATTTTCCCTTTCCATTTTTTCCTTTAGACTATTTTTAAAAATATTTATTAGACTTAAAAATTGGCTACACTGTCTGGGAAATCTGGAACCCAGAGATATCAGACACTAAAGAAGAAGAGACTAAGCAGTTGGGTGAGAAGTAATTTACATGAACTAGGGCCTCTGTTGGTGTAAACACTGATCTTGCCTGAGTAGGCTTAGCCTCAAATTTATTCCGTCCTCTTTATTATTTCTTAAATTTAGCAAGACATTTCCCCTAGCTATAACCTAAATCATATTGAATAGGTTATTCTGACTTGAGGTTGTAAACAGTGGTGCAGCCATAATAGTTTTTTGCAAATTTACTGGATTATGTTTTCATGACCCTTGAGGGAATGTCTTTTGGGCCAGTTAATTTAAGCATTTGCCATCAGGTTGAAGGAATTCTTTAGGAGCCTTAAAATATTTGGAGGCATTTTCTTTAAGAAAAATTAATCATTTTATCATTTTATTGTAAAGTAATTCGTGCTGATTGTAGAAAATTTGGAAATGTATATAGAAAGACAAAAAATAAAAATCAGTTATAATTCTACTGTTTAGTAATAATTCTTTAGAAGAGATATTGTTAGTAACCTATCCAATGGTCATTTCCATTTTTCTCTCCTGTAAAACAACCAGATTTTAAGTGACAATATGCCCAGCCCCAGGAAATGAATCATGATTAGTCTAAAACAATCATAAGCCATGCCATTATTCTTCCCATGTTTAAGCATGTGACCCACTTCTGCCTGTGAGATTCAGAAGTCTTCTGATGTTTCTGGCATGATTTTGCTCCTTAATAACAAGGTTGTATTTTAGGGGAAAGCTTCATTTGCTGACCTCCATTCTACTTTCTTGTTTGAATACAGCCATGTGAGTATGTGAGGCTTGGAGCTGTGGCAGCTATTTTGCAATCATGAGGCAACAAAAACTATGTTAAGCGCAACATAATGAAAGACTAAACAGAACTTTGATCATTGATAGAGTTGCACTGTTGAACTAATACTAGTACTGCCTACCTCTAGACTTTTTGTTAAACTAACAGTAAATATCCTTCTGTTTTAAGTAGCTGTTAACTGAGTACTAATGATTGACCTTGACTCATTCAAACTGATACAAATATTATGTACATTTTTGATGTATTTTCTTTCAGATATACTTTTTATTTATTTATTAAATTAATTTTTTTTTTTTTTTTTTTTTGTACAGACAGGGTCTTGCTTTGCTGCCTAGGCTGGTCTTGAACTCTTGGCTACTGCCTTAGCCTCCCAAAGTGCTGAGATAACAGGCACGAGCCACTGAGCATGGCCTATAAATACGTTTTTGTTTGTTTGTTTTTTGTTTTTTGAGACAGGGTTAGCTCCGTTGCCCAGGCTGGAGTGCAGTGGCTTTTTCTCAGCTCACTGCAAACTCCACCTCAACCTCTGGAGTACCTGGGACTATAGGTGCATGACACCACACCCAGCTAATTTTTTTTCTTTCTTTTTTTTGGTAGAGACAAGGTTTCACCATCTTGCCCAGGTTATAAATACCTTAAAAAAAGTTAGAGCAAATGTAACACACAGTTTTTATATCCTGTTCTGTCCCTTTGAATATTTTCCTAAGTCAATAAATATTCTGTGAAAACATAATTTTTAAATATCTGGTCACAATATCCTACCATACTGGTGTATAATTATATTTAACCATTCCTTTATGTTGAAAATCTAGGTTGTTCTTCTTTAAAAATACATAAATAAAAATTCTTGTACTTTTTTTTTTGAGACGGAGTCTTGCTCAGTCGCCCAGGCTGGAGTGTAGTGGCAGGATCTCGGCTCACTGCAAGCTCCGCCTCCCGGGTTCAGGCCATTATCCTGCCTCAGCTTCCTGTGTAGCTGGAACTACAGGCGCCCTCCACCACGCCCGGCTAATTTTTCTGTATTTTTTAGTAGAGACGGAGTTTCACCCTGTTAGCCAGGATGGTCTCGATCTCCTGACCTCGTGATCTGCCCGCCTCAGCCTCACAAAGTGCTGGGATTACAGGCGTGAGCCACCGTGCCCAGTACCTTTTACCTATTTTTTGAAAAAACATAATCTGGATTTTTGCTTTAGGAGATAGTCCTGGAAGTGGACGCTCTGCCCTTTGTTATGTAAGACTATCGCATTGAGGGGGAGGATCTAAGTAGTTTTGATTAATTTGTCTTTTCTCTTACCTAAACACGTTCACTGCCCACATGCTCCTCTGAGGCAGTGTCCAGTGGCACAGCTCACAAACCTTCACAACCCTCACAATGCAGTTGTCTTTTGTTTCTACAATACAAGGCAAGGGATGTGGATAATTTTATTTCAGAGGCCTGAATGGTGTTAGTTATTAGAACAGGTGTTCAGAGTTATAGGCTGTGCTGTAGTGGCAATGAGTGATCCAGATTGACAGTGGCACCCAGGTGTTCTTCAATATGTTTATTTTTTGCTTGTGTTTATGTTATGCAGGACCACTTAAAGGGCAAGACCTAAGGCAGAGGTCCCTCTTTCCTGGGTATAAGGGCAGCACTTATTTAAATATGCTTTAACTTCATAAAGACTACTCATTATTTCAAAATGAATACAAATGACGATTTTAACCTGTATTTTTGAAGCCAATATTTAACTAAATGAATTTTGTCCATAATCGTATGTGCGTGGAGACACATGGAGTTTGAATTTTTGGTTTGTCTTTATTTGTGATGATTGATGCCTGCTGTATGTGTTTATTCTACTAAAATGATCATCAGGAATGCATAACGGATTCTCTTGATAGATACAGATATATAGCAATTTATACAATTGCGAGTAAATATAAAAGAAAGGCCATTGTGGGTTCAAGCACCAGATGGATTCTATATAAAACCTCAACCCACAAGTGATTTATTTTGGAGCGATATAATTACCGAAAGCATAGTGATGTATTCCAATTTCTTTGCTAGGGCTTCAGTTTTCACAGAATTTGTTTAGTCTTTGGTGCTATTACTCAGTAAATATGATATCATTATCTGTGAAATTGATCCAAATGTTAAGTCTACTATTTAGTATTACTACACATTTTGTATGAAAGTAGAATAACTTTAAATAACATTGTAGCTACATAATGGCCTGTGTTGATGGCATTTGCAACTGGCTTGTAGAAAAATCTGCACTCTATGCAAAAATCAACCCCTTCTCTGTTAATATATTCTTGCTTGTTAGTTTTGTGGGATAAGTTTGCTGTATTCACTCAGAGCGGAGAAGCAGAGTGTAAAATGAATGGAGCTAGATGAACCAGGAATCACAAAACTCGATTTTTAGTTCTAGTTCTGCAACCAATTATGCCTCAACCCTAGTCCCTTTGTCACTCTCATTTATGTGATACAGTAGTTTTCTGGATGATTCCTCAGGTAACCAGCCTGTGTGAGTAGGGATTTGAGTAGGAGTATGCAATCAGGTTGAGTAATAGACCTGGGTAATGTGGTGCTGAAGTGCTGGTGAAGTCAGGCAAAGTCATGGCAGGGTTGGTGTTGGCTGTAATCTGCCATCATTATCAGATGTCCTTGTCTGTAAAAGCAGAAAGAAAGAAAGAAAAAAAATTGCCATCATTTCAGAAAGGTCACGTCTGTCACCTGTGGGCAATACTGCAAAGAATCCAGTCTGGGGATTTTATTTTTTTTAAATATGTGGAGCAGTCTTTTTATATGTAAAACAGTTTATTTCTTTTGATATCATGTTACCCATGGCTCTATGATGTAGCATTACTTTGGGTTGGAAGATAGATGAGAAAATTGGTAGGAAAAATGTTGACTTACTGGAGATGATATAGGAAAATAAAATGGCAACTAAAGCCTCTGGCAGTTCAACAGACTCTTCATTTTGCTGGAGTAGAGACAGCCAGTAAAAATGACTTCAGAGCACCCCAAGGAAAATAAGTTAACGAAAACCAACGTGGGTCCTCTGACCACTGGGAAAATGCAGAGGGATGTCAGATAAGATCTAGGCAGTTTGCTCCTAATAAGTTTATTTGTTAGAGCCAAAGACATAATCATGGTGCCATGATAGGAGAAAAGGCTTTTTTATTTTAGTAGAGATGCACAACACATACACGTTCTCTCTCTGTGTCGCTTCCTTCCTTCCTTCCTTCCTTCCTTCCTTCCTTCCTTCCTTCTCTCTCTCTTTCTTTCCTTCCTTCCTTCTTTCTTTCTTTCTTTCTTTCTTTCTCTTTCTTTCTTTTCTTTTCCTTCCTTCCTTCCTTCCTTCCTTCCTTCCTTCCTTCCTTCTTTCTTTCTTTCTTTCTTTCTTTCTTTCTTTCTTTCTTTCTTTCTTTCTTTCTTTCTTTCTTTCTTTCTTTCCTACAAATCACACTCAGATAATATGAATAAACATTTCTGGAGCATTGGTGCATGCCCAGCATTGGGCTAAGTGCTCACACAAGCCCTTTGAAGTAGGCTGCCTTATCCCCACTTTAGAGATTAGGACACTGAAGTTTATTTAGGGAGACAAGCTGCTTAAAGACACAATGCTAATGAATTATAAAGTTAGAATTTAAAATCCAGACGTGTTTGACTTCAGGTCTTCAACCCTTAACATTTACACATACTGGCTCTATATTTGCCTTTCAGATATTCTGCATTTAAAATGGCATTTTCATCATCATTTTCCATCCCCCTTAGCCTTCTTTATTTTTTCTTCATTGTGTTTACCATTATTTTATGCCTTACATTATTACTTTATATTCTTATATATTATATTACTTTACATTATTATATATATTATTGTTTACCACTTACCATGATTATATATTTATTGTTAATTGTCCATATTATCAATTATCTCTGCCACATGTTTTGTCCCCTGATATTCCCAGGCTCCTGAACTGTGAGTGTCTGGCAGTTAGTAAGAGTCCAACACACACTTGCTGAATACACATGCAAATTGTGACTTGTTAAAACGAGTCTTGCTGCAGCTCTTTTCTTTCATAGTTGGAGATTTTTTTTTCTATGTGCGCTAGCTTCAGCTATTGTAGGATTTTTAAGCTTATAAACTCTAGTTTTAAAGCTAATAGAAGATTGACACCCAGAGAGAGAGAGAGTAAATGTCAGATAAAATATGTGAAAAACAGAGGCTGGAAAATTTTTCCCGAAGTAGGAACTAATAAGCTGACATTAGTTCAAAACAGTTCATGGAGTGGATTAAAAAAAAAAATGTGTAAATGATTGTACTTTGGCCAGGGGCACAGAAGGTCACTGTGCTGAAAACAAAATGTTTTGTAAAACTTTTATCAGAAAATTGCTTTATCATTTTGAAATTTGAAATGCTATACTTTAGCTTCTGCATTCCACTTCAGAAACAACTATTTTATCTTGCCATTCAGCAATGATGTTTGCTTTAGAGCTTTCATTTATGTTGCTTGAAAGATTTTTTTGAAAAAGCTTTGTGCTGCAGCTTCTGGACTCTTCAAGGTGATGAAACAAAAGGTGCCTGTTTGTGTTTTCAACAGTATTGGAATGAGCCTCAAGGAAATTTAATAATTTAGGTACTATATAAATGCAAGAATAATAACTTTTTTCATTTACTGCTGTCTGCCCTGGCCTTGAACTTTTAAATCAGTCTGACTCATGTACCCCCAAGTCCTCTGGGAAGTAAAAGCTGCTCTGTTTGCAGTTGTTGTCCTGGATCCCTCTCTCTGTTCTAGCTCTTACTCCCTGGTACCTCCCGTCTACCACCCCCACTGGGTGTCAGTCCTGCTGACCTTTTGCTTTGTCATCCATTTCTGGTTCCATGTTTCACATTTAATTTTATGACTGACTTGAAGGAATTTGGGCTTGTTGCTCTCTGCAGACTTAGCTCACATTAAGTTTCGGGTTCTTCCAGTGTTTAGTATCTCTGAACATAATTCTTTGTCCCTTTTTCAGTTTCCAAGATCCCAACTTGCCATTGGTAGCCAAGCAGGGCCCATTCAGCTCCTCTCTGAGGAGTATTAAGCAATTACTGATCTGGCAGGTTTATGCTTTAATCTAGATACAGAACCATTAACTGTCTGGAAAGGGCCAGGGTGTAGTCTTCCAGATATGAAAAAATGCTCAAGCCATTAACCTAGTGAGCTGCTGTAAGAATATAAGATCTGTACTCATACAAAAGACTTCAGGTAAAAGATAGTCTAGAAGGTAGAAAATGTGGCTCATTTTCTGCTCCCCTGAAGCGTCCAGGACGTTATGCTGCATGGCAAAGCAGGAATATACATTTGCTGAATTGAATTCATCAGAGCAGGTACTCAATTTTGCCAAGAGATGGCAGATGTGTTCAGACTGTATTTACATAGCTTAGCTATTACATAGTTCTTGAGTTCTCTCTGCTCAAATTCAGGCATAAAAATCAGCTAGGCTAACCTGATTTTGTGCATGCACTTCAGAGAAGATAGTGGATAAGAAGAATCAACACTGACTCCTGTCAAGGGCTCTGTCACTTTACCATATAACACGCAGAGCAAGGTGATCTTTTTTTGGTTGTCATTTGTAGGGCAACAAGGCTTGAGATGAATTCTACAATGTCATACCGTGTCTGTGAAGGAACAGGCTTTTTAAATCGACAAACATGGATCAAGAAAAAGAAAGGACAGGCAACAACCCATCTTTTACTGTCCCCAGAGAAAGGCTAGTGAGGTCAAGGTACTGGGCTGGACCAGCCATGAGCATGTGTTCCAGGGAGGAGATGCTGCCCCTCTGTACCTTGCTCTTCTTAAAGGGCAAGTATAAAAGCAACCTTGCCAGGGTGGGGGAATCTATAGTCCACTTGAATATCAAAAAGGCAGGGTTTAGGTGCTGGCTATTGGTAGGCATTTTCTGGGACAGTACTGGAAGTGTTAGGACTCACCAGGAGGTATAGTTCTTCTTGCCTTGGGGAGGAAGTAATTGATGTCATAGAAAGCTGAGATTGGGTCCTTTCTCTACCGCTGACAGCCCAAAGTCTCAATTCATTACCTAGGAAACCCCAGATAATCCTGTCATCATTTTTAGGCAATTCTGCGTGTTACACCAGACCACCTGTTTCAAAATATTAGTAATCATGCTAGTTTAGGCAAACTTAAGAGAAGATCAGTAGAATGTTCCGACTTATGAAAGATTGTACAATACAGAGTTTTTTGTTTTATTTTTGTTTTTTTCTTCATTTGTTTTTAGTTCCATACTTTCTATTGTTCTGTTTACCATGAACAGAAGCCAGGACATGAAAATCACTGTGTGACTTAGGTTCAAGCTACTTTTTTAAATCAAAAGTGAATATAGATGGGAAGATGATTACTGGGATATAAATATAATATGTCATTATTGCTGTAGTGGATGTAGCAACTGTGTGGGTCACAAATTGTAAGGTACATAAAGGGTTGACTATAGCACATATTTTGGGATACATGTTTATTTTCTCTGACAAAGCCGTGGCATGCTGCAGTCAGTCAGTCCATCCATCCATCCATCCATCCATCCATCCATCCATCCATCCATCCATCCGTCTTTTATATAAAGAACATCGAGACCAGTCTGGGTAACACAGGGAGACCTCGTCTCTGGAAAAACAAAACAAACAAAAAAAAAAAAGAAAGAAAGAAAGAAAAAAAAAGAAAACTTAAGGGATAGGCTCCCAGCAAAGAAAATCTTAGTCATTCTCTGTGTCAGGTATTTATTGAGTGGTTCATTTTGAATCCAGCCACAATGGTAATGTCATTTTGTCTCCTGAGTCCAATAACAAAAGATTAAACTGCACAAAGTAAAAAGCCCCAGAAGAAGGGATTTTCCAAATCAGGGCTTTTCCTCTCTTGTTTTAAGGCAATTTAGGGGTTAAATGTTTCTGCATAGTTTTGGTTTTCTAATTTTGTCATTCTGGTGGACGGTCACTACTTTAATTGTATTTCCTGGGAATACATTTAAGTGGCCATGAGCTCAATAAAAGCTTTATTTAAATGTTTCAAAACAAACTTCAATCATATTTTTACATGAAGAGACTGTTTTCTTAGCAGTTACTGAGGCTAGGCAATATTATTCCACAAAAGAACTGAATTGCAGATGAATTTATGGCACAATTTTCTGGAATATTGAGGTTTTTACAAATATTCTTACGTATTTTGTTAAATCTTTCTACTTTTTTTTTTTTTTTTTGGTAAGACCAAGGCTGTCGCCTAGGCTGGAGTGCAATGCAGCAATCTCGGCTCACTGCAATCTCTGCCTCCCAGGTTCAAGCGATTCTCCTGTCTCAGCCTCCCAAGTAGCAGGCTTCCGCCACCATGTCTGGCTAAATTTTTTATTTTTAGTAGAGATGGGGTTTCACTATGTTGGCCAGGCTGGTCTTGAACTCCTGACCTCGTGATCCACCTGACTCAGCCTCCCAAAGTGCTGGGATTACAGGCGTGAGCCACTGCGCCTCGCCAAATCTTTCTTTTAAAAATAATGCCATATTATTTAGTGAAATGGAACAGACAGCCCATACTCAGTGTTGTAATATTAAATTATATTAATTGCATGAAGAATAGATGCTGAGTAAATTTTAAATGGGATATACATAAGGGAAAAATAATTGTAAGCTCCTAAAATCAGCAGCACAATTTTCAAAAATTCCAGACAATATATTATTTACACATTACTAAAATTCATATGTTTTGGAGATCATGACTAGAGGCCAGTATCAGGAGCCTTTGGAATTATTTAGGCACAAATTATAGCTTTTCTAACAAACTTTATACAACATGCAGAAATGCTGAATGATTTGAATTTCTCTCTTAAGATTCAGAAATAGGGCCAAGTATGGTGGCTCACACCTGTAATCCCAGTGCTTTGGGAGGCCAAGGCTTGAAGCTGGGAGTTTAAGACCAGCCTGGGCAACACAGCAAGATCCCATCTCCACCAAAAATATAAAAATTAGCCAGGCATGGTGGCATATCTGTAGTCTTAGCTACTCAGGAGGCTGAGACAGATTACTTGAGCCCAGGAATTCAAGGTTGCACCGAGCTATGATCATACCATTACACTCCAGCCTAAACAACAGAGTGAAACTGTCTAATTTGGTTTGTCTCTGTGTTCCCACCCAAATCTCATCTTGAATTGTAATCCGAATTGTAATCCCCATATGTTGAGGAAGGGACCTGGTGGGAGGTGATTGGATCATGGGGGTGGTTTCCCCCATGCTGTTCTGGTGATAGTGAGTGAGTTCTCAAGATATCTGATAGTTTTAAAAGTGGCACTTCCTCTTTCGCTGTCTCTCTCCTGCTGCCTTGTGAAGAAGATGCCTGCTTCCCCTTTACCTTCTGCCATGGTTGTAAGTTTCCTGAGGCCTCCCAAGCCATACAGAACTGCAAGTCAATTAAACCTCTTTCCTTTATAAATTACCCAGTCTCAGGTAATATCTTTATAGCAATGTGAAAATGGACTTATACACTGTCTCTCTAAAAAAAAAAAAAAAAGAATAAAAAGGAATAGGCTTGGCATTAATTAGCAACATGAAAGCTGAGTCTATGCATGCTTAGAATAGAAACAAAATGGATTCAATTCAGTAAAACCACCATAGCTCATTGTTTCTAAAACAACTGACTTTTAGATTTGAATCTCTCTCTGCTATTTCTTTAAGGTCTGTGTGCTATAATTAATTTAATGTCTTTGATATATTTCACCTAGGCATTTTGTTAACATGTTGTGTAATGTTCGGTTCTACTTTCGTGCTTGCAGCATGTGGCAGTTAGAAAAGGCAGATGCCTCGCTCACTGCTTTGCCATCCCTGCTGTCAGGAGTTGGCTGTGTGAATGTTCAGGCCAAGCTTCCTTTATCGGAATTATGACAAGCAGCTGGGCATTTGCCTATCAGCCCATCTGCCAACTCCCAGCAAAATCACACAAGCGTTTTCTAGGCCAATGCTGAGGCCAGGACTAAGATAATGAGCTCAGATAATGAGGTACCACTTCACCTCAGATCTCTTAGTTTCACAATGACGTTGTGATAAGGAAGTCCCTATTTTGGCCTAATGAAATTTTTGCTTATAAAATTAAGGGCAGAGAAATTCTCCAAGGAAAATTTTTAAATTTGAAAATTAAAAAGAATTTAATTAAAGAACATTTTTAAGAAGTTGAAAGAGTCTTACAGAGATATAACAATCTCCATATTAGAAAGGAAGATTAATGATCATTTGGTTCAACCTGTCTGATGTATAAATCACTTCTAGAGCATTCCTGACAAGTGTTATCTTGTCTCAGCCTTAAACACTCCAGTGACAGAAACACAGTAGTAATTCCTATTTGATAGAGGCATATTTGGAAAAGCAAGTAATCAGAATGGAAATAACCATTTCAAAAAATGTTCCAGGAGAAAGGGGTATAGGAAGTTGATCACCACTCCCATTTTACTCTTGATGATTTAGTAAATGCTCCTCTTTTTTTGATGTGTTTGTCTTAAGGAGGGAGTGGGTCACAGTGAGTTTAGAGGCATTCTGGAAGGAAGGTGGTCTAAGGTTACCAAGAGCTTCTTTTTGAGATTCAAAATTCGAAGCATTTTTAAAAAATATGGATTCCAATGGCTTTAATCAAGACCTAGGGATAGAACATGGCAATAATCCTCCTGGAAAAAAATACTGTGGTGGAAAGAGCTGGCACCTGCTTGCTGGTGGGGGTGGAAGCTACGAATGGTTACCCTGGGTCTGGGAGGTCTGTATTCTAGAACTTGTTTCTGATGAACATTAGAATCAAGAGGAAAGGACTTTCTCCAATCTGGGTATTACAGAGTTGAGTACATGATGGAATATATCTGGCAACAGGCTGGGAAAGAGGGAGTGAAAAACACTGTTTGCACCCAAGCTGGAAGTATCTAAACTCTGGTTACATTTACATTAAGTCCTTGTTCTATGTTGAGTCCACAAAGATCTGTGCGCATAATGGCAACCACTTAAGAATCTTACAATGGCTCTACACCGCCTTTTCCTGTTCATTCTAAACCTTCTCAACTCTTCCTCTAAGGACATACTTTCCAGGAAGTAGTATCCTTAGTGGATAGTTACTCCTGCTCTAACCTTACTCCTTCTTCTATTAAACCTTTGCTTAAATATCCTAATTCAATACTTAAAATCCTTACTTAAATATTATTCTAGAGTTCAAATCACAATGTGTGAAAAAATATCTTTTGATCACTTGGGACATATGGAATGGGATTAGGGAAAATGTCATTTTATTTGTATTCCAGCTTGCCTAATGAAGTACATGCTGTTACTGCCCCACCCATATCCCTTGGCACTCTTTTCCAGTTCGTGTCTAAGCCTTCCTTCTGCAAACAGCTGCAACTTTTATCCAAGGGTTTTCCCTCAGCCCAGGTTTGATCAGAATAGAAATGCTGAAAGCTTATGTTCTCTGGGAACAACACTTAGCCACTGCTGATTGGAGCTGGAGTCTAAAAACTCCAGCTTCCTCTCTGTCACTGAGGGCATAATTTGGGGTTAGGTTTCACAATGTCTGCTGAAGTCCCCCAGCAGGACTGAGCCAAAGGTGCCTATATGGTGACTTGCTGGATAATGCTCCTTTATTGGCCTCATTTCAATCTACTCACTCCCTGACCAGTGTTTCCTGGTACACCTCCAAATTAACTGTTTGTAAATAAGGGTACATGCACTGTATGTAAATTAACTGTATGTAAATCCAAATTAACTGTATGTAAATAAGGGTACATTCTTGTTTCAGGTTCTGTTTCTGGAGGAGTCCATACAAACATACCTAGAGTAGTTCTTGAAAACATTAGGGAATGTGGATATTTATTTATCAGAAATACCCCTTCCTCTCCTATAGCCAGAAGGGATTATGTGTTATATGTTTGTACCTATTTGCAGTCGTTTGTAGATTCTGGCTAAAATGTATGTGCAAAATATCAAAGATGGGTACATGCCTCAAGAAAAGTTTGATGTTAGTTAAAACCAAAGAGGTTTAGAAATCTACTAAAAATTCTATAGAGACAAAGAGAATTACTGCTTGGTTCTTGTGGTATGGAATGATATTACTTTATGAAGGTTTAATCTGCATTTTGGTTTTCTTAAGGTGTGGATAACTGAGAGTCAACACTCATTTAGAAAATATTTATGGAGTGCTTAGTATGTGCTAGGTGGGGAGTGTGGAGCACCAATATTGACATGACATTATTCTTGTCCTAAAGATGTTCATGGTATAGTGGGGAGACAAGTAATTGCAATCCAAATTAAAAATATACACTAAATGCCTTGAGAACATAGGAAGAAAACACTTAGCTCTAACAGGAAAGATAGCTTGTTTGGAGACTTAAAGTAAGACTAGGGATTGGCTAAGTAGATAAGGGAAGAGTAAACAGTCATTATAAGTAGAAGAAATAACTTCTCTGGGAAGGTGGGCGTGGGAGAATGGGATATGTTTGTGGAATAGCACATACTTCATTATAACCAGAGGGTAATATCTCAATCCTGGTTACAAAAGGGTAAGGTGTGATCTGCTAGGGAAACGTGGACATGTTTGGTCTATAAAATACAGGAGAATTTTATCCTAGGGCTTCTGATTGAATGTCTATAACCAAAGAGGTGGGATGAAAGGATAACTAGGGAGAAAATTAGATCATATCGAGCTATGGGATAGGGTGGAAATATGAAAAACAAGTGTGCAGTGATGTAATACTCAAAAGTTAAGGAAAGATAATCATTGGAACATTAAAGTAAATTACATTAAATAGTTAAGAAACTAAATTTCTGGAAACTGAGCAAGTAGCTCACATTTGTTTTAAGCAGAAATTACTTGTATTACTTGGGTGGTTTTGATTCTCCTGTCAGTCATAATTGCATTTGACTCCATTTAACAGAATCCCAAACAAATACGTGGTTTATTTCACAAAAAAAAACAGAGACTGGTGCTTTCAGATCCGATCTAGTGAAGGTGTTCAAGAAACCAGGCTTTTTCTGGCTTCCTGTTTCATTATCCACTGTGCCTAACCTGTGATCACAAGATGGCTGCCATGCTTCCGTTTATCTAATTTGCATTGACAGAAAGAATAATGGAGAAAAGTGACAGGCAAAAAGGCACATGCAAGATTAGTATAGTCAATATTTTATTTGTACACAGTAGTTTTTCCAGATCTCCTGCCTAGTGGCCTTCAATTTCCTTATAATTGACCATAATGGTGTCACATGGCTATCCTCACCTTAAGGAAATCTCAGAAATTGAGATTTTAACTGGGCACATCTCTACCCCCAAATAAATGGAAGTTCTGTTACTTAGAAAGAATAGCAAAATGCTATTGGAGGAAAGCCAGAAATGCCTGTTAAAACTTCTTGAAAGAATTTTATTAGATCACACTGAAGAGAGCTGGTATAAACAAGCTCTCCATAAATGTTTGTTTATGAGTAAACACATGAAAATAAAGAGAATAGAAAGACATATTGTAGTTTTGTCTACAAATTACACTATTGATGCTGTTTTAGAAACATTTTGGCATGAGTCGTTTGTTTGGATTATGGAGGGGACTTTACAATTCATGTTATGTGTTCTGCTCCTACAAAAGGCATCAGAATTTCATTTAAATTTTCTAATAACAATTTTAGTCAGCGTCAAATAATATTTTAAATTCAGTATATGTAAGATGTGATGGAACTGGAGGTGTTATTTAAAATATTTAAAAACTGATAAGACCTGAGCACTATCCAATCAAAACAGATGCTAGATGCTAACTAGAAACATTCATTTTGCTTGAATATTAGTTCTGGATTTAGTGGATCCACTCTCAAAAAGTACGATTTTATTATCTTTTGTGGAATCCCATAATTTCTGTTTTTAAATAATTCACCAAATGATTCTCCTGTTTATCCAGGATTGGAAGCTTGGTTTATAAGGATGGACTTTGTGATTCTTTATTTGAGATCTTCCCTGCCTCCTGCGTGTGCTAACGGGTACATATCAGCCCACTGAGTTTCAGCCAAGATTTTGTGTGGGAGCTACAAAGTCTTTCTCCTTCCCACAGAATTGTTTTCCTTCCCCACCCAGTGTGTTTGAGTATTGAAGTTTCATGGTGATGAAAGAAAATGTATTCCTTAAGTTTCTTAATTCACACGAAATCAAGAAGTATGAAATACCCTGAAAAACTGATGTCAAAAGATAATCTAAATCAAATATTTTTGGAAACAAAAGCAGGGCATTATCCATATTGAATCATTAAATTATCATTCAGTCAACAGATGTTAATTAAATGGCTATTATTCATATATGCAACAACTTGGATGAACCTCCAGGCAATTAGGCAGAGCAGAAGAAGCCAATCCCAAAAGGTTTCATGCTATGGAATTTCATATACAGTACATTTTGACAAGACTTTAGGAGATAAATGAATGGTTTCCAGGGGTTAGGGATGGGGACTGAAGAAGGAGGTGAATATGACTATAAAAAGGGCAATATGAGAGATTTTTGTGATGCTGGAACTGTTCACTATCTTGACTGTGTTGGTATACACACAAACCTACACAGGTGATTAATTTATATACAACTTAATACACACACACATATTCCCCCTTCCATAGGTATACAAGTACAACTCCAAAAATCTGAATAAGATCAGTGGATTGTATCAAATGTCAGTATCCTGATTGTGATATTGTACAATCATTTTGCAAAATGGTACCACTGGGGAAAACTTGCCAAGGGATCTCACTGTATTATTCTTATATGACTGAGTGCAAATCTACAGTCTTCTCAAAAATTTTAATTAAAAATTCGAGGAGAATATGTTGGGAAGAAACAATATAAGGGGCAAAGTGGAAGACAGAATTGAAATGTCATTTCTGAGAGATGACGAGCACTAATAGATTAGAAAGTAAGAGAACACTGGGATCCAAGGTGGGCAAGGACATTGATTGCAACATTGGGAGCCGGAGCCATTGGAAGTCTTTGAGTAGGAGACTGTCACTATAAGACCAGATGCCTAATAATCCCAAAGGGGCTCTACACCTCTGAAATTGCATACCTTGAAGAAGAGTCATCAGAAGTGTGCACAACAGAGTGTGGTGGAGTCAGAGACCACTTCGGATGTTACTCTAGTAATAAAGATTTGATTTGAAAATGGGTCATATTCTGGAAGTGCCCACAGGAATAAAAAGTAAACAATTTTCATCAGAGCTACAAAGGAATGAGCAAGGCTTGGTATGGGGCTTGACTGAATATGAAATTTAGACTTTGAATCTGGAGAACCACAATTCTAAAACAACAATTCTAACAAAAGTAGATTCAAAAGAGAAACTGAATGTTTCTAAGGTGGATTCCTCTTAGGTATGTTGAATGTGATGGGTAAAAATTTCTCAGGCTTCAAGTTGAGACCCAAAAATGTAACTTAATTTTTCTATTATTCAACTTAATTTCTCTCAAGATGATGGCTAAAAATTCACTTTTAGTCCACTAACTGTAGACTGTCAACACAATGTCAACTGTCAACAAATGTCTTTTCAGTCAATTCAGATTTATCCCTCTTCTTTGTTTTTCTGAATTATACCTAAATTCCTTGGTTATTGATTATCCATCCTATTATCTGCTGCTGATTTATTCTTCCTTGTCTTTTCTCTAAAGAACAGGACATGTTCAGATGTCCCTCCATCTGCATATAACATGTATATGCTCTTGCTGCTACACCCTTCTGTGTGCAAAGACCTCTGGGATCTTGCAACTGCCCTGGGCCTCCCTTGGGAAAAAAAACTGAACAAGAATAAATAAAGGATCATAATCATGAGGAGATATGATTTTTCTTATTCACTTTCAGGTAATGGAAAGTTCTCTAGTTAGTAAATATCTCCTGGCCAGTGTAACTATCCCAATTTTAATCTCTACCGAAAGTTAAGAATTCTCAACTTTGTTAGTTCTCGTCTGTATTTCTTTGCTTCTCCCCCATGTACCACACCATGATGTCTAATCCCACCAAGGTCAGAGCAAGCAGAAGAGGAAGAGAAAAAAAGGAACAGAGAAGGCCTTACCCGGTTAGTATTATTGAAAGCTGGCCTGGGCTCTCTTTGGAATTGAAATCTCATTTTTTTGGTCACAGTGTTGGGGGTGAGGTAGACTGTCATGGCTTCTTCAAATGCCCCACCCACAGCCCATCTTTAGGGAGCCTGTCTCCTACAGTTCCCTTTAGTGGGGCAGCCCATCTTTATTTTGGGTGCATTTTTTTTGTCTTCTTTGGCCCTAGGCATCCAATGATATCTCAAGCTTCTTTCTCTTACTGGCATGTGCATCTCTCTCAGAGGCCTTTGGGAAAAGGCCATAAGATTGTCCCAAGCCAGCTTCTTCTTGTTTTTAGCCAGTGAATGAGTAGGACAAGTATCAGCCTTCCATGCTCCTCCATCACCCTTAACGAGCTCTGGATATCTGGTTGTTCTCAACACAGTCATGTTTTGCTTTGCCACCAGGGAAACAAGCCCATCACAGTTTTGCCTTATATTTCTCAGAGTTTAATTTCCAGTCCCTGGGGCCTCCAAACAGAAGATATATATCAAGGTCTTTGAGGAATCTCCTAAGGCCCTCTTTACAGACTGAAGGTTAAAGGGAAAGCACCTTCATCTCTCCACACTTGGGGAGCAGGGAAAGATTCATGGCTTACTAACATTTCTCTCAATATTCAAATCATTTAAATTTTTTATACAAGTTTGATAAGGGTGAAGGATTGAAAGTCATGTAATGATTCTTAGAACTCCTCCTTTATAATTCCTAGGTCATAACCTCGCATTTCACTTTGAAATATGGTATCTATTGAATTAGTGTCTCAGCTGACACTGAGACTATTTGATACCTTGTTGCATAAGGTACAAGTTCTCTCTGCTCTAGATTTCCCAACTTATTGAAGGTTCTCTTGTTCACATTTTTTTCTAGTATAGGTGGAAATCCTAAGCACCTTCCAAAGTCATTGACAATATCTATAAAATGAAGGATTGGAGAGAAGGGATAACATAGAATCTTCCAGCAGGCTAAGCTAAAGGTGGCATCAACTTCAGGGAGGAACCTCTCACCATTATAACTGTCCTAAGCAGACCAGATATTGATCAGACACTAGGAAACAATAAAAAGTAAAACAGATTCCCTATTGATTTTTTTTAGGACATTTTTCAGGCATGAGCTCTCCTTCCATTTCCTCTCTGAAGCATTTCCCCTCTGTGGTGTGTGTAGTCAGTGTGAACAGTACACAACTTATAAACAGCTTCTTTTAAAAAAATCAATGATGCCAGCAATTGGCATACACAGATTAGCATAAGGTTATATAAATATAACATACAAAATTGTATTATACTTCATATTTTGGATTAATTTTAATTATTTACATCAGAGTTATAACATTTTGGGAATGTTGTGGGAAGTTAGGAACCCCAAATGGAGGGACCAGCTGAAGCCATGGGAGAAGAACATGGATTGTGAAGATTTTGTGGACATTTATTAGTTCCCCAAATTAATACTTTTATAATTTCTTATGCCCATCTTTACTGCAATCTCTGAGCGTAAATTGTAAAGATTTCATGGACACTTATCACTTCCCCAATCAATACCCTTGTGATTTCCTATGCCTGTCTTTACTTTAATCTCTTAGTCCTGTCATCTCATAAACTGAGGAGGATGTATGTGGCCTCAGGACCCTGTGTTGATTGCGTTAACTGCACAAATTGTTTGTAAAGCATGTGTGTTTGAACAATATGAAATCTAGGCACCTTGAAAAAAGAACAGGTTAACAGCAATGTTCAGGCAACAAGACAGATAACCTTAAACTCTGACCGCCAGTGAACAGAGCCATATTTCTCTTCTTTCAAAAGCAAATGGGAGAAATATCGCTGAATTCTTTTTCTCAGCAAGGAACATCCCTGAGAAAGAGAATGCATCCCTGAGGGTAGGCCTCTGAAATGGCTGCTTCAGAGGGCGGCTGTCTTTTATGGTTGAGCTGTAGGGATGAAATAAGCCCCAGTCTCCCATAGCGCTCCCAGGCTTATTAGGATGAGGAAATTCCTGCCTAATAAATTTTGGTCAGACTGGTTATCTGCTCTCAAACCCTGTCTCCTGATAAGATGTTACCAATGACAATGCGTGCCTGAAACTTCATTAGCAATTTTAATTTCGCCCCAGTCCTGTGGTCCTGTGATCTTGCCCTGCCTCCATTTGCCTTGTGATATCTTATTACCTTGTGAAGCACGTGATCTGTGTGACCCACATCCTATTCGTACACTCCCTCCCCTTCTGAAAATCACTAATAAAAACTTGCTAGTTTTGCAGCTTGTGGGGCATCACGGAACCTGCTGACATGTGATGTCTCTCCTGGACACCCAGCTTTAAAATTTATCTCTTTTGTACTCTGTCTCTTTATCTCTCAGACCAGCCGACACGTAGGGAATATAGAAAAGAACCTACGTGAAATATCGGGGGTGAATTTCGCCCGATATCTGGCTGAAATTTCCCCCAATAGGGAAGGAGGGGATCAAAATGTCACTTAATTTAGTGTCCTGCACAACATCTAACTGCACTTCTGACTTGGCTTTTTAGCCTTTTCTTGGGCACTATCACTGCAGAAGCAATCATCATCTCCCTGGGCACCAAACCATATAGTGGAAACAGGGAACTCAATCACCAGGTGGGTGATTATATTGGCTGACTTTTTGGGGTGCTCTATAGTCCTGGAATCCACTTTCATATATTTTGTATTTCCTATAGGTATTTTGCTAATTGAAAGGTTATCTGGTATCTGTTGGCCTCATTTTGTACATTGCTAAGGATGGCATTCTATTGTGTTACTGCTCCCATAGAAAATTTGACTAAAATTTTTCCACCTATATAGCTCTGGAGCTATGAGATATTTAATAACAAACTTCATCTCTGTACCATCATCCCAACAGAAGCTTTTTGCGTTAATGGAAAACATTGAAGCATAGATATGTCACCTTCAAATGTCTGCATACATTCTCAGATTGCAGTTTTGACCTTTCATCATAAAAATTTTTAAGTTTGTAGTAAGCAAATCTGTTCTTGTGTCTGCTTCAGACATTTCTTAAGGCAAGAAATATATTTTTCTTTTAATCTGATATAAACCAAACTCCAGGACAACTTTTAGATCACAGAGAGAGAGACCAGAAGAAAGTGACCAGTGTGATGAGGGGGTCGACTGAGGACTTGAGAAATGTGTTCTTGGTTATTCCTTTCCTCAGGGAATAAAGAATCTCAACATATCGATTCTTGGTTATTAGCCATATCAGCATTTTCTCAAATGTGTTCTATAGAATCCAGTTATTCCTCAACTTAATTATGAAAAAAGTATCCTGTGATCAATTACTTTATAAAAACACATATACTATATCTTTTTACAGAAGCATAATGTCATTAGCATTTTAAAAACATAAAGAAATCTCTTTAATCCAGTGGTTAATCATGGAACCTCCCTTTCCCTAATAATTGTTAATAAAACATAGAATACCATACAGGCCACTGGCCTGTATCTTTTAAATATATATAAATTGCAATGACTAGATTAAATAGGATACATGAAATGTAACCTAAGTACCAAAAAAAGTGGATTGTTTAATATACCATTTCACTAGTATATTGTAAAATAACATTTACTTTATCAAAGCTGCGGTTGACTTGAACTGAGTTTATACTGTACTACAATATTTAAGTTTTTAAATTTTTTTACAAGTTTATTGTGTGGTTCATGTTAAATATTTGTAAAAATATAAGCAGAAAATGTGACCCTCATTCCTGTCCCATTCCATTCTCTTTAATTCAGTTGGTCCTTTGTCTCAGCCATTGACATAGACATTAAATCAAGGATGAAAAACACATTTGTGGTAGAGTAATTTAATTATAAAACCTCTTTCATTTAATTTTTTGTAGCCACATAATATAGTGCCATAAAACATTTGAATATACTTTTCTTATTAAACAGAAAATTATGTCCCAGAATATTATCGTAGTTCACATTTTATACTTTGCAATCACTTTCATAAAAGTCAGACTTCCAGACTTAATTTGAGGAAATAGTAGAAATAATAATATGGGTTTATTGATAAACTGGTTCTTCAATTTTTAGAATGTTACCAGACAGAAAACTCCAATTAACCCTAAATGCTATCTAAGAGCCACACACTATTAAAGCTAAAACAGAACCGACATTCATCATGTGAAAAGTGACACGGAAAATACAATATAAAACCAGAAGGTGAAAACACATTTGAATAAGTTTTAAAAAACTTAGAATAAGATTCAAAATAATTAATTTAATATCTTTGCCACATACTGCTATAACTAGCAAAAGGATGAAATGGGCAGGAAGTTTTTTATATTTAAGTACTTTAAATAGTGTACATAAATATAGGGATAGCATTCTGAAAATATTAGCAAATTTTCTCAACATTGAGGACACTTTTAAAATTCCTAAGCATTTGAATGTATGTAACTTTGCTTTTTAGTGAAGAAATTATATTCTATTGCTAATTACCAGAAAATCAAAATTTCCCCAAATTTTCAAATTCTTTAATAATAAAATAAACATTTTGTTGTTTCATTAGTACTAGTTCAACTTTTTAAAGCTTTTAATCAGCATGAATTTATAAAAATATTTTTATAAGTAAAATAAAGTTTTAAAAGAGGTTAATTTGATAGGCTCTATTTTAACACTATTTTCCAGCTTAGATGTCTATATTTTTAAAAATATGAACATTTTATGGTGTAAAAAATCAAGTTATTGTGCACCCATAACTATTTAAAGGTATGTATTTTTGGTATCAATAGAGGTTGGTTTTTATTAAATAGGTAAGCTTCTAATTTTAAATCATGATGCTCATAGCCTCAAATATAGAAATGTGTTACATGCCCATTAAATAAAAATCTATTATTGTGATCCAAAATAAATATACATAAATAATGGGTTTAATATACACTTGGCTCACAATATAGGAAGTATCTATTTCCTTGTTCTGTAATAACCAAGGTAATATTGTCATTAACACAATTATATTTTCAATCTGCATAGACGAATTTTATTTAAAAGATATTCTTTGTTGGGAACTGCTGAGTAGGAATATAAACAAAATTACTTTGCAGGAGAACAGAGAAAAGAAAAACTTAATGGCAAAATAGAAAATTGAGAAAAATGGGGAAAAAATGGCTAGGATTAAGGAAATTCTATTTTCAGATCATATGCATCTGATACGGAAAAGACTGTGGTAAACAGAAAGGGAATTGTTAGGTTTGGAAACAGCAGTTATTGTTCAAAAGGTTAGCTATAAATAGCAGCAGCCAGTATGCAGAGATAATATACAAATTACACATTAGCCTATTCATTCACAATTAAGCACGCACGAAGTGAGAGGGAAATTGCTTTTAAATGACAAATGTCTTCAAATATTAGAAAAATGCATTTAACTGATGGAAAAAAATTCCTACTCAATTTCTGTGCTGCTGAATATCTGATATTTCATATCTGGAAAATAGGCTTTATGGGAAACAAAAAGGTACATCTATTTTGGTGACAGAGGAGAGAGGAAGAATTAGAGATATGAAGAAAGGGAGCCAATTTGTAACTTTTACTCTTTCCTTTATAATGATAAAAAATAAAGAGAGAGAAAGGAATTTCCAGAATATCTTCTTGGAATAATAAAACAAAATGTCAAATTTTCCCAAGTTCTTCATGCTGCTCTCCGAAAAACAATTTCTTTACTGCAATACCCTATCTGGAAATAGTGTCCTCGAAAACATGCAATTCTCCAAAAACACTTCTTAAGGTTTTTCAAAATTCTTATTGCATCTTTAAGCTTGCTCTGTGTTGCGCCTGAATTGTTAATTGACTAACTAGACGGAGGGCCCAAACTATGTCAGCTGTTCTCAATCCTGGCTGCATATTGGAATCACCTGCAGAGGCTTTAGAACCTGTTGGATCCCGCCTCCAGAGATTCTGACTTGACTTGATTAGCTGAAGGCCCAGGCACTGGGAGTTTTATAAAGCTCCCCAGGTGACTGTATTGTAAGTTGCTAGGGGCTGACGTTTAAAGGCCTAACATGTGGTGGGGGTTGGGGGGTGGCGGGAGGAAGGTGACGAGAGAAAGCGCTTGCTGTTAAATGAATCGGTGAATCTCTAACTGATGGAATAAAGGTAGGGGAAATAATTTTGAGTGTAGGAAACATATGATAGGGGTCAATGAAAGAAGAAACTTCTTTCCAGAACTGCCCATCTCCGTCCTCCCTCTGCACAGCTGGGCCTGAGCTGCACCCTTAAACCATCTGTGCTTGGTGGCCTGGAATCTAGAAAGCGCGGTGCCTACCTGCAATGGAGGTAAGAAATATCTTTGCTGTGGGGAAGTGGGAGGAAGCCCTATTCACATGCTTCCATTTTTAAGTTCCATGGCTTTTAACATTATGCTTTTGTGAATGTTTTAAGTACTTACAGTGATTACTTTTTGGGGATTCTCTCCCTTTTACAATCAGAGCTGTACCTTTGGTGAGTGGTTTCAAGTGACATTTGGGTGACTATCACCATTAATTGCTTTCTGAGTATCTAATATGAAAGCTTGTTAGGCTAGAGCAGGGATAGCTAAAGTAGACTTCTGGCCCTACAACAGAATTACATAAATAGAAATTCTGAGGTGGCTGCTTAGTAATTTTTTTTTTTAAATGCCCCCCAGGAATCCTAACCTTGAAATGAGATAGTTCTTCTTACAATATAAAAAATTCAGAAATTATAAAAGATAAACTATTCGAGTTTTTGTTCATGTAAGGATCAGGAATTTCTACCCATAAGCAAAGACAAATGAAAAATGGAAAAAATATAAATAGAAAGCCAAAATCCAATGGCAAAATGAATCAATGATATGAACAGGCGGTTTATATTAAATGACATACATACCAAATGGTTTCTAAACATGTGAAAATATGTTAAACTTTGCTCATAATGAGATCATTGTAAATTTAAAACATACTGAAATACCACTTATCAAAATGTCAAAAATTCCAGCCTGATAACGTGCTGCGTTGGCTAGACTGAAGGCAAACAGGCATTTCTTATACTTTGTTGCTGGGAGTGTAAATTAGTGCAATTCTTACAGAGAATAACATGGTGCTATCAATTAATACTATAAATGCATATGTTCTTAGACCTAGCAAATCCTCCTTCTAAGGATTTTTCTGTTATTTCGGAAAATTTTAGATTTTCTTTCATATTTTGAAATTTCATAATACTATGTCTGGCTGTGAGGTTTTCCTTATCTTTCCTATGTCCCCTTAAGGCCTTGCAGTCTTAAGTCTTTCAACAAAACTTATCCTCATTATTTCTCAAATAGTCTCTTCTTGCCTTATTCCTTTTCTTTTTCATTGTAACTTCTATTATCTCAGTTTTGGCACTTCTACAGCTGTACTCCATATTTCCTAGCTTTCTTTTTCTATTTTCTGCTGAATTCAAGTAATTTAAAAGTTGTTATCCAACCAATCTTACTATTGTTATATCTGTACTGTACCTCTCAACCCAAGCGCCTTGTTTTCCCCAAAAGTTTGTCACAGGTTTTTGTTAGATTCTTAGATCCACGTTTTCCTCTTTTTTTTTTTTTTTTTTTTTTTTCCTGCTTTGTTTCTGTTTGTTGTTTCACCATAGCTGTTTTGGGAAAAAGGAATTAGTAGCTTGGACTAGTTCAATATCTAGTCAGGGTCCCAGATGATTCTTAAGTATAGTACACTAAAATGCAAGAACCTCTGTTTTAAAGTTTGAACTAATGCATGAATTATATTTTCATAGACGATTAGATCTGGCTTCAGATTCCAGCTCTGTCTTATATTAACTGTGTTTGACTTACCATAATTATTTAACCTTTCTAAGCTACATTCTTCAACAATCAAATTAAAATAATATTTACCTTACCTGCCTCACCTACCATGAGGATAAACAACAAATTCTGTAAGGCATAAATAAAGTAAGTTTGGTGGCGGCCATTTGGAAACTAAAACTTAGAAGAGCAGAATAGTAAAAACTTTAACTATACTCCCATAAAGGCATCCTGATGATCTGGAAGTTTCGTGTGCTTTTCTGCTGATCAGTCCCACTCGTGGATTGTTAAAATGAGTAAAATGAATGAGTCAGCCATTCAGTGTAGTGCTCATCATTCACAGATAAGCAGCTAGGCTAGAGCACTGGTAAGACCATAAATAATCATATATTCTGTCAAGTTTCTCCTTATACTCCAAAGCAATCGCATAGCATCGTGTATAGATGATGAATGAGGCTGAAATGATTGGGTGAGCTGTGCAGTGGTATTGTATGGTGACTGTAGAAATGACCACTCAAATGTCCATTTCTTAACTAGCCAGATATACAGCCAATGCATTTCAGACAGATTGCTTTTGACAAGCCAGTAATCAAATCTATGTTTGGGACCAAGAAGCTAAATGGCAGAAAATGCAATGTCATTAACGTCTTTTAGAGAAATACCATAGTGTGTGTCAAGTATATGGAAAGCGCATGAACTGATAAGTATGTGCTCATCTTGGGGGAAAAGCCTCCAGGCTATGTCCCAGAAGACCTCACCTAACCACTTGATGGCCACTGTTCCTTTGATCATTTCTGAAGGCTAGATCTGTTTCTCAGTCTTGCAGCTCACAAACTTGACATTTTCTTTTTCCTTTTACTTTGTTCTTTTGTTTAGCACTCCTGCCCACATCTCAGGGGCAAACTTATATAAAACTTCAAAACTGATGTATAAACCTTGAATATTAATTTGTTAATTTGTGGGAAGAGATTATAGTGTATATTGGCAGCACATTCTTTTCTTGCAGGAAGAACTACATGGAAAGCTAAATAATAATTACAAGACTGCTTAGTAAATATAGAATCACAGAAAAGAAAGCTAGCTAGGAGAATAGGAGTCAGGTAGTCTAATGCATTTAGCTACACAGTAGATATTGTCTTGAGAATGAACCCAGAATGCCTGGAGTCCTTTGGCTATGGCCACCTCCACTGGACAATTGTTAGATAGACACTGCCAATGTTCAACTCAGTGCCTTTCTGACTTTTCTTTGAAAGAAAGCCTCAAGGGCTGATATGGTTTAAAGTGGATCTCTTAGGAATCCAATGATAGTATTTCTGGGTGGATCAGAAGGCCAAGATATAATCTCAGAGGGAAGGAAAGAAAAATAAATTGGCTGATGAACAATTGCTTCACTTACCAAAATTAATAAATGAAATAAAAAATTATTTTAGGTGAGCAATCAAACATTTATAATATGTCAGTCACTGTGTGCTAAGTGTTCCAGATATAGAGTATTTAAGATAAATATTAACCTTAAAGAGCTTACAGTCTAAGTGGGGAATAAATCACTTCAACAATGTACTCAATAGAGCTGAACAGAAATTGAATAGCAGTAGTCCACAGTAAGAAGAATATTCTTACTGCTTTTTTATCTACTTAATCCAAAATTCTCTCCTCTCTCAAGGAAACCAAGTTTGGGTTCCTATGCAATCTTTTGACTTTATCTTCTGCTAGTTTTCAAGTTTCCTAATATAGGAAAGAATGCAGACAATACTGGGTACAAGCATTAGCTGTGTCTGTAGTAATAATAAACCAGGGTCTTCACAGAACATGAAGTCCAGCCTGGCTGGTGCTCTACCTCCTCCACACTCCTTTTTTAGCTTAATCTATGTTCCAGTGGATGCATGCCTTCCCAGGAAATGATGCTCTGTGCCTCATCACCTGACTCTAAACTTCCGTTTTAGGATCTAAATAGCTGAGTATGTATAAATTTGATCTGGAAAGAATCAGAAAAATATATTTCCACGGAAAAAAATATCAAAATTGTTTTTTATTAGAGAAAAGCTCACAGTACTGCTAGACTGGCTCAATGTGATTCAATTATTTATTTTGTGGACAGCAGGGGCAGAGTTGCTCCCCCTCAACCTTTTCTCCACTTTGTGGGAATATTGCTAAGAAGGCACAGCCATGATGTGCTGCCTCGGAAAACTGCCCAGTGGACTGACGTCATGGGAATTTGCTGAGCCTGTTTCATGGAGGTCATCTAATTCTCAGCATAAGGGTTTTGAGCAGGAAACCCTCTATGTTTCTTTGCTAATGAACCCAAAATCACCAGCCCAAAAAATCGACACTGCATTTCATTAACACAGCTTTCCCAGAAAATAGCCTGATGCCAGGCAACCACTAGTATTGCTTTTATAATCTAAGCTGGCTCATATAGACCCTGTGAAGTTCTGTCCCAAATGTGTTACTTTATCAATCTGGACCACAGAGCCTTTGACTCGTAGTTTCAAGCAGTTTTTAAATTCTTCCTTAGCAAAATGTTGCTGTTTCTATATCAATAGTATATCATCTCTAAAGCCCTGGGAAAGAAAATAGAATTCTCACCCTATGAGAAATAGCCAAACATGTAATTTAGGTAGAGTAAAAATTGTGACATTGTGAAAAGGGTCTTAGTCATAAACTTAAAATATATTATTAGTTTGTAATTACTACTGCTGTATTATTAGTAGTATAATGTGAATATATTTAGAATGATAACTCCATTTTTTTCTGTAGAAAGGTTGACTCTAATAACTATAGCTAATATTCACTTATCAATAAATATTTACCACTCAATACTTTAATGCTTTATATATATTAACTCATTACTTCCTGACTTTTTATAAATGAGGAAACTGAAGAACAGGTGTTCAGTACTTGCCCAGATCACACAGACAGCAGCTGGTTGAGCTGGGATTTGAACCCAGACAATCTGCTGGAGGTAGATTGTATACTTTTAATCTCTGTTATAACATTATAGTACTGAATCAAATTTCAGCATACACAGGTTGTATTACAAAATGGAAGCAGTAAGTTATTATTGAATAAGTATAAATAAGTTAAAGCATTGATGAGATCAGATTTATTTTTATTTATTTTTTGTTTTATTTATTTATTTATTTATTTTTTTTGGCAGAGTTTTGCTCTGTCATCCAGGTTGGAATGCAGTAGCACCTTCTTAGCTCACTACAGCCTTGAACTCCTGGGCTCAAAAGTTCCTTCTGCCTCAGCCTCCCAGAGTATCTGGGAGGGCAGGCATGTGCCACCATACCTGGCTATTTTTTAAATGTTTTTTAGAAACAAGGTCTCACTATGTTGTCCCAGCTGGTGTCAAGCTCCTGGGCTCAAGCAGTCCTCTCGCCTTGGCTCCCCAAAGTGCTGGGATTTCAGGCATGAGCCACTGCACCAAGCCAAAATTTTCTTTCACGTGCTTTTGTTTTAAGTTGATTTTTTAAAATATTTAAAATATCTTGATTTTGAACCTGTCACAAACTCACAGAATAGTTGCAAGTCTAGTATAAATAGCCTTTTTCCCTGCTTAAGCCATTAGAGTTGAGGCCTGAGGTCCTACAATCACTGAATACTTTAGAGTCTACTTTCTTCATTCTCCTACACATACACAATACAACCATCAAAATAAGTAAATATAGTTGTATGCTGAAAAACATTGCTATGATACTCCACAGGCCCCATTCAAATTCCAATTGTGCCAATAATATTCTTATAGGAAAAAAATAGTGTACTAAACTTAGTTGCCATATCTCTTTCTTGTAGGATTTTTTGCATTTATATTCACAAGTAAAATTGGTTTATATTTTCTTCTACTTCACAGGTTTGGTGTTAAGGACGAGATTTATATGGTAAGTCTGGTTGCTGTTCTTCTTTTTCAGGTCTTTGCATTTTTAATTCAATAAAATGATTATTTGTTGCTCAATATTGGTAAAATTTGTTCATCAAACCATCTCAGCATGTGTTTTTTTTGTTTTTTTTGTTTTTTTGGTGTGGTAAGAAAATTTGGTTTCCACAAAGTACTAGTTTTTTATTTCATTGGTAATTTTCCCCTTTGCTACATTATTGATTTCTATACTTTTCTTTATTACTTCCTTCATTTTAATCACTATTTTGTTATGTTTTTAGCTTTCTTAGTGGAATACATAGCTTACTTTAATCATTCCTCATTTTAAAAACTAAATGTATTTCCCTAAATTTACCTATTAGTACTGTTTGTTGCATCTGCTATATTTTGGACTACTTTTGTTGTTGGTAAGTTCGAAATATTTTATAATTTTCATTGTGATTAATATTGTATGTTACTTGGGAGGCCATTTATAAGACTCCAGGCATATATTCATTAACATAAATAACTTTGTAGTTTTGATTTTGGCTTGAGGTTTGATTATATGATGTAGTCTATATTAATATTGATTCTTTTAAATTTTTTGAGAATTAGTGATCTAGAAAATTTTTGTAAAAATTTTCTTAGGTACATGAAAGAATGTATGTTCTCTGACTTGGAGGTATCAGGTTGTATGTGCATGAGGCGGGTTGGGCGGAGAGAAAAACAGAGAGAAAGAGAGACATAGATCACTCATGATAATTTTGTTGCTCAAATCTTTACTATTTCTGTCCATAAAAGTCTTATTAAAACTCTGCATTTATTGGAGATGTCAATATCTCCTTGTGAGTCTGTCAGTTTTTGCTTAGTATCTTTCACACTTTTTTTATTATATTAAAAAAGTAGTGTTCTTCATTATCCCTACTAAAATTTATACTTTCTATTTTTTCTGATATTCATATTATATTCCAGATTTCTTTTGGCTGACATTTATCTGATATATCTCCTTTTGTAACTTTATTTTTAACCTTTCAATATGGTTATATGTATATCTCTTGGAAAAAATATAAGAATTTTTTTCATTTAATTTGATTATATTTGTTCTTTAATGCATGATTTTAATCTCTCTATACATTTACTGTGATTACTGATACACTTTTACTTATCTCTATAATTTCACTTGGTGTTTTTATGTTAACATCCATTTTTATAACCCCTTCCTCCCATCATTTCCTGCTTTCTGTTCTATATTCCCTCTTTTCCTACACAGATTTGAAAACTATAGATTTTATATTTAAAAAATGTATTATACTTTATGATGAACTGTATATTTTTACAATCAAGTCAATAATTGGTAATGTCATTCTCCTCCTGGCCAGGACAAAATGTTTAAATGTTTATCCTTATCCCATAAATGCTTATCATCTCATTATGATTCTTTAGAATTTTAATTATCTTTTTCAGCAGAACATTTTGGTTATTTGTAGAATTGATAATCTGTTATATATACTAATTAAAAAACAATTTTAGTACCCGCTATTCCTTGATGCAATTTATATATTCTCTCTGCTATTGTTTTTCATTGTCTTCCCTCTTTAATTAGTTTAGATAGGTAGACAGTTATTTCCATAGGAACTTTAAACACCCTATCTTCTAGTATTGAGAAGTTTATTGTTCACCTAAATATCAAACTTTATTGGTAAACTTGGTAGCTCTTCAGATTTCATGTTTGTCTTTGATATTCTGCATCTTCATTGTGATATGGATTGGTACAGATTTATTATTTATGTTGCATAGTATTCAAAGACTTTTTTCTATGAGGATCTATTTTTCTGGAAAGTTATCAGCAATTATGTTTTCAAATGGTGCTTTTCCATCATTCTCAACATTGTTTCTTTGATACTCTTAATCAGTGCTGTTGGAAAGAAATATAATATAATCCCTACATATGTCTTTTAAAATTTTCTGGTGATCACAATGAACAAAAAAACAGATAAAATTAATTTCAATAATACTTTTTAATACAATATATCAAAAATATAGTCATTTCACATGCAATCAGTAATTAATGAAATATTTCAATTTTTTAATAGAACTTGCTATTGACTGAATGTTTGTATCATTCCCAAGTTATATCTTGAAATCCTGACTCCCAAAGTGATGGAATTAGGAGGTGTAGGGTCTTTGAGGGTCATGATTAGGTTATGAGAGAAAATCCTCTTGAATGGGATTAGGGCCTTCATAAAAAAGATGCTCAAGTGCATTCTTCTCCCTTTATGTACATAAAGACACAGCAAGAAGAGGGCCATTTATGAACCAGAAAGTGGAGCCTCACAAGACTCTCAATCTGCTGACACCTTAATTTTAGAATTCTCAGTCTCCATAATGGTGAGAAATAAATTTCTGTTGTCTATGAGACATCGGTCTATGGCATTTTTATTATAGCAGTCTGAATAGACTAAGACACAAAGTCAAAATCTGCTGTGTATTTTACACTTACAGCACACCTCAATGGGAATGTCAACTTTTCAACAGTTAAATTAAAATGTATTCTTCCCAAATCAGTAAAGCTGTGTTGAACAGAAAAAATATTTTACAATGATCTAATTTTTAAACTTAAATAATTAAAATAAAAAAATTAATTTCACAGTTCAGTAGCTACATGGGGCCAGTATTGAAGAGCACAGTCTTAGATGAGTATTAGAGAAATTCAATCTAACTTTTTTCTTAACTCTTCATTCATAGTTTTGAAATCTCATTTTAACTGGATTTCTCTAACTGCAGTGTTGAGAATAGAGTGTAGAGGGAAGGAAGTGAAAGCTGGAAACTGAGTTATGCATCTATTGCATTCAGCCTGGTAAGAGGTGATGTTTGGACCAAGGTCATAGGAAAGTGGTTGGATTCTGGATAGATTTTTGAAGTTGAATATAATTTTTGAATGGATTGAATATGAGCTGTTAAAAAGCCAGTCAAGGGTGACTTCAAAGTTTGAGCTTTAGCTTCCGTAAAAATTAGAAGAACAAGTTTTAGGGGAAAGCTCATGATTTTTACTTTAGACATACTACTTTTGAGATGTCCATTAGATTTCCATGTGGAAATATTGGGTTAGGAGTTTGGATATACCACTCTGGAGTTCAGAGAAGATGTTCTCCCAGTCTAATGTGTCCTGATGCTTTCTGACCAATTCAGTTTACCCTAGATCATCCCTTGTAGGATCTTTTAGTCATGTTGATGTTTCTCTGTAATATAAAACTATATCTATCTTATGACCTAAAACCTCATGTAATCCAGCTATACAACACATAGATAATCTTTTAAAAATCCATGTTCAACCGGGCACGGTGGCTCACATCTGTAATCCCAGCGCTTTGGGAGGCCAAGGTGGGCAGATCACAAGGTCAAGAGATCGAGACCATCCTGGCCCACATGGTGAAACCCTGTCTCTACTAAAAATACAAAAATTAATTGGGCATGGTGGCGCACGCCTGTAGTCCCAGCTACTCGGGAGCCTGAGGCAGGAGAATCACTTGAACCCAGGAGGTGGAGGTTGCAGTGAGCTGAGATCGTACCACCGCACTCCAGCCTGGTGGCACAGTGAGACTTGGTCTCAAAAAAAAAAAAAAAAAAAATCTGTGTTTGTCAATACATTAACATGTTATATATTATAAACTTAAGATGGCACAATTAAATTCTGAACAGAGATTTCTGAAGGCAATACTCTAAAAATCTGGGACAATAGTAATGATGGTGTGGCTTACTATAACAAGATATTTATAAACAATGAAAGCCTTTGTGTCCTTAAATCTTTCTAGATAAACAGCTATATTTTTTTTTTAAAAAAAGACTAATTTTTAAAGCAGTTTTAGGTACATAGCAAACTGAACAAAAGGCGTAGAGATTCTTCATACACGCTTGGCCTGAAACAGTCCTAATTACCACGTACTGGAGTGGTACATTTGCTACAATCGATGAGCCTACATTGACCCATTATTATCGCTCAAAGACCATAGTTTACGTTAGGGTTCATTCTTGGTGTTTTACCTTCTATGTGCTTGGACAAATGTATTATGATGTCTGTGCAACATTATAGTATCACACAGCATTTTCATTGCCCTCAAAAATCATCTGTGCACAGCCCATTCATCCCTCCTTTCCCCTAACACCTGGCAACCAGTGTTCTTTTTAGCTTTTAGGTTTGACTTTTTCAGAATGTCAAATAGTTGGAATCAGTATGTAGCCTTTTCAGGTTGTTTCTTTTTTTCACTTGGTAATATGCATTTAAAATTCCTCCATGTCTTTGGCTTGATAGCTCATTTCTTTTTAGCTCTGAATAATTTTCTCTTGTCTGGAAGTACCACAGTTTATCCATTCACCTACTGAAGGACAGCTTGGTTTCTTCCAAGTTTTATCAATTATAAATAAAGTTGCTACAAACATCTATGTGCAGGGTTTTTTTTTTTTGTTTTTTGTTTTGTGGGGTCATAAGTTTTCAACTCATTTGGGTAAATACCAAGGAGCACTATTGCTGGGTCATATGGTAGAACAGGTCTAGTTTTGCAAGAAACTACAAACTGTCTTCCAAAGTGGCTACACCATTTTGCATTCCCACCAGCAATGAATGAGAGATTTTCTGTTGCCCTATGTTCTTGTCAGCACTTGCTTTGTCAGCATTCTGAATTTTGGCCATTCAAATACTGTAAGTATGTAGTAGCATATTATTATTATTATTATTTTGAGACGGAGTTTCGCTCTTGTTGCCCAGTCTGGAGTGCAATGGTGCGATCTCAGCTCACCGCAACCTCCGTCTCCCGGGTTCAAGCGATTCTTTTGCTTCAGCCTCTCGAGTAGCTGGGATTACAGGCATGCGCCACCTTGCCAGGCTAATTTTGTATTTTTAGTAGAGACAGGGTTTCTCCATGTTGGTCAGGCTGGTCTTGAACTCCCGACCTCAGGTGATTCGCCCACCTCGGCCTGCCAAAGTGCTGGGATTACAGGCATGAGCCACCATGCCTAGCCGGCTTCTTATTTTAATTTCCATTTCCCTACTGACAGATGATGTGGAGCAGTTTTTCATATGCTTATTTGACATCCGTACATCATCTTTGGTGAGGTGTCTGTTAAGGTGTAGGCCAGTTTTTGAAATTGAGTTTGCTTTCTTGTTGAATTTTAATAGTTCTCTGTATATTTTGGATAATAGTCCTCTATCAGATATATCTTTTGCATATTTTATCCCATTTTGTGACTTATCTTCTTGTTCTCTTGACAGTGTCTTTCACAGAACCGAAAAATTTAATTTCAAAGAGGTTCAGCTTATCAATTCTTTGTTTCATGGATTGTGCCTTTTGTGTTATATCTAAAAAGTTATCACCCAATCTAGATCATCTGTATTTTTTACCTCTATTATCTTCTAGGATTTTTATAGTTCTGCATTTTACATTTAGGTCTGTGACACATTTTGAGTTAATTTTTAGGAAGGGTGTAAAGTCTGTGTCTAGATGTATTTTTTTTTTTTTTGCATGTGGATGTACACTTGTTCCAGCACCATTTGTTAATTACTTTTTCTTGATAATGTTGCCTTTGTTTTGTAATTGCTAACTTCTTGATGGGTTATTCCAATGTAAAAGAGTATGATTTATAACTCTTGAAAGTGTTAAGATGGCAAATATTCTCTAAAGCAGCAGGAAACATAAGACTTTCCTTACCATGTGCTAGGGGAAACTATCTTAGTGGGGAAAAAAAGGGAATAGTGAATTACAGCACACTAATTAATCATGCCTTTGCACAGAGAGATTGTTATATTATATTCCTTAGAGCCTTAGACTGTTTCATTGCAAAGCTGCATAAGTTTCTTTTTACAAGACTAGCCTATAGCACTACAAGTCTGTTTCCTGAGATATTGCTTTTGATGATAGCTAGCACAGCCTTGTCAGAATGGGTATCTTTGGATACCAGCGAGAATGATGGAGATTTAATTCAGTGTAATCATTCTGTTCTCTAGCAGGTATAAATTGAATGCAGTAATATCTGGCATCCTCAGGGCTCATTTCTATAAATTGGCCTGAGAAATACTGTACTAGGAAAAAAATGAAAAATACATATTAATACCTAGTGAGCTAAAAATACATCAGCCAGTTTTAACTGTTAACAAAAAACCCTAGGTATCCCAGAAGCTACTGAAATTTTGCAAGGCAAAGTGGACGTTAAAAAGATATTGGAGTAGAATAAATTAGATGAAAAAGGCATGCTAAAGACTTCAGAACTGTTACCTCTCCTAATACAGTGCTATAGTAGGTTGACAATTTTCTATAGTTCGATACTTGTAGTTAAAGTACAAACTAAGCTGCTATAATAGAGACCTAAAATGGAGGCGCTTAAATAGAATAGACGTTTGGTTCATTTTTATATAACCTTTTTGTTCCATGAAGCTACCCAGGGACAGATGGAATGTTCACCTTTGTCATCCTCAACATGTGGCTTCCATCTCTAAAAGGTGGCAACTCCAGTTGTCCTCATACACCAGTGAATAAGAGGGAAAGAAAGGAAAGGAAGTGGAGATCCATTAAGCACCATGGAAATGTACATACTTCTGCTGCTCACGTTCCCTTGAGAATTTGGTTACAATGCCACAGATAAACTCAAGTGAGGCCAAGGAAATGTAGTCTAGCTGGGTAGCTTGTGTCTGCTCAGACATGACTATGGGAGTGGGAGTGATTCGTGAACAAGAGGAGGAAGAAAAATGGTATGGGGGTTCCCTTGTTCGTGTCTGTTACAGTGTTAGTACAGGATTTAAGATTTAAGAAAAATGTATACACACACTCATACATATATATAATTTGAGGGCTTGTTTCTATCTATTATAAGTAAAAGGATGTAAGTTACTAATCTTTAGAGATAATTTAACTCTTTAAGGAAAGTAGAAAATAATGATATAGAGCTCGAGGTGGTGTTAAAAAAACAAACAAACAAACAAAAAACAGAAAGAAACAGACAAATTACTCCCTTTTCCTCCTGATTTCTGTTTTCCATATTTACTCCTCCCTGTGGCACAATGCAGAAACAAAACTAGGTCAGTAAAAATGTTTCCATGGTATCTGAATTTTCTCTATTAAAACTAAAATACACCTTTTGATGATCAGGATATCACCTACTTTAAGTAAAACAGTGTCAGATTTAAATTTGCTGACATATTGGCAGAGGGAACATATAATAATTAACTATTTTATATATATTTATATATAATATGTATATTAAATCCATTTTGTTGGATCAACTAAGTATCTCCACCTATGATCTATGTATGTTTTAAGATAATCAATTTTCCTCAGGCTGTACATATCTGAGTCACAAAAGAGTATTTCTCTGGCTCATCTTCTGCCTACTTTGTTTGTTTGTTTGTTTCTTGTTTTTGTTTTTGCATCACCTATGTACCTCAATTTTTTTTTCCAGATGATTCTAGGAGTTTCTGAAGCATTACCAGTACATCAACACCTTTATTTCATGGAAACTTTTAAAGTTTTTACTCTCATAAGGGATAGTTTCTGTCCTTTTAGACCTAGTCTATACGTGGCACCAACTACTTTCTTCCCTTTAAGCTAAGATTTTTAGTGGCAAGTACATCTTTTATAGACAAACATTAAGGAGAGACAGACTGTAAGACCCTAGAGGCTCATTTTCTCTCCTTTTCTAACAGCTTAACAAAGAGCTGGCTCAGCAGGTCAGAGTTAGCTTAACTGATAAACAGGCTGATAATAACAGCTACTAACCTCCAAAGACTTTTTCTAACAAGCCTATTTTTGCATCAGAAAGCTTCTGTTGAAATGTGCTGGTCTAGACATGTCCTGCTCCTATAATTAAGTAGTGCATTACTGGGGTAGGTCTCTCAAGGAGCCTTTTTCATGATGTTTCCTTTCAATTATGCCTGTCCTAAGTACAGCTCAATATGGGACCTCAATGGCTCAGGGGATCAAGTATGCTCTACTAGTTTGCTGTTTGTAAGGTTTTCCCCAGTAAGACCCTTTTTGATATTTGTACAAATTGGCATTATTGAGATGTGTTTTTAAGACCCTTTATGTGATCATCATCAAAATAGGCACTGTACCACCAATGCCCATTAAAGACACCATCAATTTTCCAAGGCACTGCAATCTACTGGAGAAGATCCTAAACGCACATCTTACTGTGGCTGATGCTTTTTCATCACAAAGAATGTTATTCATGTCCCAGGAAACCTGCTGCTGCTAATGCCTTCTACATGGAGTGTCCACTGAAATTGTGGAGGGAATGCACATTAAGTTTTTAGTCATTCCAGTTTTTTAAGAGCCTTTTACCCAAAAACACTAGGTGTGTTTCTAGGGGATTACCAGAGGATAATCTGATGCATAAGCCATGTGGTGCTCAAAAATTCATCCCCACTTTTTGGATGAGTTCTTTAACTGAAGTTGTGTATCTCTTTTTAGCCTAGATTGACTTTCCAGAAAGCATCACAGATCCCTGTAAGGCTGTCCCACCAGACTTGCAGGCTTGGCTTTCCCTAAATCCTAGGGTCCATAGAGCTTCCACCTTAGGCTTAATTTCTGATATGTCCAATCAACCACATATGGTTGCTCCACTGTCACCTGAAATGTAACACAAGAACAAAGTCATCCTCCATCACTGCTCTAGTCATGGACTCTTTCCCTCCCAAGTTCTCTTCTAAAGTAAAGGCTGGACCAAAAACCTGGTCAAGTTCCTTGATTCTACTCTGTTCTCTCACCAAACCCATCTAAGCTTATCTTCTAAATATCTCTTAAATCCCTTCACATAGCCTCAGCCCTGCTTACTACTATCCGTATTCAGAGAACACAGTCTTTCAGATGGGTCACTACCAAAGCCCCTTCAAAGTTCTTCCTGCCTTTAGTCTGTCAGCCTTCAATCCATTCTTTGAGAAGCAAGCCAAGTTACCTGTAGCACAAATCTGATCACATCACTCACTTGTTTAGAATTCAGGGTCTACCTTATTCTTAAATTAAATACTGAAATTAATTTTTTTTTTTTTTTTAAACAGAGTCTCGCTCTGTCATCCAGGCTGGAGTGCAGTGGCAAGATCTTGGCTCACTGCAACCTCTGTCTCCCGAGTTCAAATGATTTTCCTGCCTCAGCCTCCCAAGTAACTGGGACTACAGGCACCCGCCACCACACCCTGCTAATTTTTTGTATGTTTAGTAGAGACGGCGTTTTGCCATGTTAGCCAGGTTGGTCTCAAACTCCTGACCTCAGGTGATCCACCTCCCCGGCCTCCCAAAGTGCTGGGATTACAGGCATAAGCCACCACACTTGGCCCCCAAATTGTTAACATAGCTCGTAAGGTCATGTGTGGCCAGGCTCCTACCTACTTCTCTAGCCTCACTACGGAGTTAATCTATTCAAGGCAGGGTCAGGAAATTGAGTAGATTTTAAGGGAGAGGAGAAATGACATTTTCCTGAGAAGTTGTTCTGAAATGACCTTGTCCAGAAAGATGTGAATTCAAATGTGTGGGGAGAAAAATAAGGAACTGAGGAAAATCTTTCAGAAAATATTCCTTAAACCAGATAAGTTAGCACATTCAATTCTAATTTGTTACTATGATTGCTAACCAGTATAGATTTTCTCAAGAAATCTTCACACCTCTAGTCAAGTAGTTTGAGTGTTTTATGTCTGGCCTCTGTGGGAGAGAGAAATATAAAATAAAAGTGTTACATTTTTTATTATTAAAGAATTTTAAAAAGTATGAAAGGTGAGATATGGCCCTAAGATTGGAGATAGCTTTGTAAGTGCAAGCCCAATACTGCAGAAGTGGCTCCAAAAACAAATGACATAAAGCAGGAACACTTTAGTAATGGAGCTACTTGCATCTTCTAATTTTCTCTCACTTCTCTTTCAGCCCTGGGAATATTCTTTGTTTTCAGGGAGTTTGCTTGGAGAGTCTGGTGGACAGAATACTTGCCCCCCATAGAAAAATCATTGTCTTTTTACTGGATTAAGAAAATGTGGTACATACACACCATGGAATACTATGCAGCCATAAAAACTGATGAGTTCATGTCCTTTGTAGCGACATGGACGAAGCTGGAAACCATCATTCTCAGCAAACTATCACAAGGACAAAAAACCAAACACCACATATTCTCACTCATAGGTGGGAATTGAACAATGAGAACACTTGGACATAGGAAGGGGAACATCACACACTGGGGCCTGTTGTGGGGTGGGGTGAGGGGGGAGGGATAGCATTAGGAGATATACCTAATGTAAATGATGAGTTAATGGGTGCAGCACACCAACATGGCATATATATACATATGTAACAAACCTGCACATTGTGCACATGCCCTAGAACTTAAAGTATAATATATATATTTAAGTATATATATAAGTATATAAAGTATAATATAAATATATATATATTTATATATACATTTAAAAGAAAAATCATTGTCTTTTAGCTGTCAGTAGGATTTCTCTTCAACTGACCAAGAGCTCTAAGGTGAAAGATGGAGGAATGGGAGGTCAGCCGAACCAACTCCATTGAAATGAAAAATGACAGATCTGTTGGTCAGACTGATGTCAGATGACTTTTCTTAGGGCCGTGAGTGTAGGAAGAAAAAGGACTTGGTAGTGTTATTTCTCACCTTTCTTTGGTTGCAGGCTAATGGAGTAAAAATTCTAAGAGTGAAGATAACTTTCTCTTCCTCAATAGCCAAAATGAAGGCTAGAGGTAGATCCATAGTAGAGGATGTGTTTTGATTATACATAGACAATTTCCCCTCCTGTCCCAGGTCTCATTACATATACTGTTCTCAACTTTTCTCATTCAGTCATTCATTCAAGAACTGGGAAAAGTCATTTATGATAATGATGCCTAGACTTTTCTCCTCTACTCTAGGCAAACATGAGCCACCAGCTAGACATTTCCCTTTGAATGGGCCTTGTACGTGCATTTGAGGCTCCAGATGTGCAAACTGACCTATTCATTTCCCATCCAATCCCTATTCTAAGCACATTTCCTTCCTGTAGGCCCTTTATTGGGGAAACTTTTCTAATTAAAAAATCTGTTATTCATTCTGCTTAGCCCCTCTTGTTCTACCTCCTAAGTATCCTTTCTACTGTTCTTGATTTCTGGTCTCCAATTGCCAATGCTGCACTTTAGGGTATCACTTTCTCGTTTTCTGTGTAAACATATTTAGTTAAGCAACAAAATTATTTTATTTATTAACACTGTGTGCTTTTGTTTGGGGCATTCTGGGGACAAAGGGGATCAGAGCTGGAGGGAGGGGATTGATCGGGAGGGTCACAGGGATACTGAACTTGAGAGTGGGGTGGAATTGACTCTGGAAGAAGATCAGCCATCAGCAATCAAGGCCAGGAACTAGGTTTCTCACTTCCAATTATGTTTTTTGTCCGTAGTATAGTATACCTGTCATATGATGAGTGGTCAGTAAATGTTTCTTGATTGAGTTAATAAATCAATGAATAAAGGGTAAAAAATTAGGAATGTCATTTTACTATAGGAGATCTTATAGTAAAACTAAATTCCAATATTTCAGGTTTGGTTAGTGTTCCAGTTTTCAATTAATTGCCTCTGAGCTTCAAATCCAGTATTCTTTGCCCTGCTTGGAGATACTGAAACTGAACTTTGTACATTGTTCTTGCCAGCAAGCACACTATTACTATCGTAAATAGAGGCCACTGGAGGTACACTGTAGGAGGAAGGGGCTTCTTGTCCTGGTATGGAGTGCTTTTTCTTTCTGGATTATTCCACATGTGACTGTAAGTGGCATTCATCCCCCGGGCGAGTCTTGTCAGCACCCCATGTGCTGGCTTCCCAGAGAGCTTCATGTGCATCCCAGAGGGTGACTTCTTTGCAAGTCTTACCAGCACCTCAGTGAGTGGCTTCCCAGTGAGTATTCAGTCTTCTCTGGCACTCCACCTGGCTTCCTAATGGGTCTTACTAATGTCCTAGTGGACAGCTTCTTGGTGAATCTTGCCAGTACCCCAGTTGCCAGCTCCATTCTGGGGTACCCCAGCAAACTTCTCTGTCATGCAGTAGACACATCTACACCCTCTCCAATGAGGCCTAAATCTCAGTCACGGGGAAGGCCCTCTTCCCAGTTTGATTCTTCTTTGGGTGCTCTGCCTCCCCCCTAGAGTGGTGGCTGCTCTCTACATCTGCTATTTCTGTAAATTTTAGAGTTCTCTTTACCCCTCTGAGGAGTTAATATTCTGTTATTAGTTCATTTTTTTAATATTGAAATTTTCCTGTTCACATTACTAATATGATGTCTCTTTCCTGTTATAGCTAGAGAGGGAGAATCTCCCATTGAGGAAGGTTACCTGTACCCCATAGTCTTCGGTGAAATGTATCTTTTATGTGGATTTTCTTTCTATCACTGCGGTTGCCATCATACCAGCCTCAAGGAAACAGAGCTCCATCAGTGAAGACTAAGTTCAGATTTTGCTGATGGGAGGGACAAGTCTTTCATATGGTTTGGCTCATTCTTCACTGATTGCAGAAGAGAGGATATATAATCTCTAAGTAGTTGGAGCCTCACTCCCCTAAAACTGGGATGGAGCTAAAATAGAGAGGCATCATCTTCTTTCCAATAAAGTCACTCTCTTCATGCATAGACTACTTAAACACCTAGAAAAGGAGTATGTCATTATGGAAACAAAATAGCATTAGCAATTTAAGAAGATAGAAAACAGTCACACTACTGCAGATCTTGCTGCAGGGGTTAAGTATAATTTAGTTGATAACAACCATTTTATGCATTTAATTTAGAAAGTGCTTACAGGAGACCAACTTTTAAGACTAAAATAATAGAAATGGACCTTGCTATGCACTCTGAATCATCTGAAGTAATAATTAGGTCATGCTAATGAGAAAAACTCAGGATGGTACCAAAGCAATCAATAGTACGATGTACGCTGAATTACTTTATTAATCATCTAACGAATTTGTTTCCCATGCAGACAAAGTTTAGAAAGGCTCTATTTTGTGTTATATTTTCCTGATGGCTTCTAAATTAAGCTTTATAGTGTGTCACAGCTGTCCGCATCCTCACCATTATCATTATCAGCAAACATTTAGTGCACACCCGCTGTGTACACAGCACTGTCAGATTCATTAAGAGGAAAGAGCAATAATTTTCTGCCCTTGAGACAGTAGAGGGGTAATTATTTACTCTGAGTACTTTAGTTCATTTACCAGTGAATGGTTAGGAGGTCTTAAAATTCAATGTTTTGACATTTTTGTACAATTTCATCATCATTAGAGCAATAACAACATTTCTGGATTTGGTCTTCTTTGTTCTAGATTATTAAATAAAACAATAATACATTGCACAAAAGTTAAAAAAACATATTGGTTACAGAGTAAAAATTGAAAGTTTCCCTTTAAAATACAGATTAATGTTTGTTTAGTCCTTGCTAATTGATATAATGCTGATTATGTGGCCAAGTCTGTTCTAAGCAATACTCAAATGCATGTGATACTTTGTAGAGGAGGAAACTAGAAAGGACACACAATTAAGTGTCAGAGCCAGGATCCAAACTTAGGAGGTCTGGCACCAAAGGGCATACCCTCCACCCCTATGCTATATGGCTTCTCTAAGACCTCAATCATTCCATATAATACTCCTAGAGGTTATTACTATCAACAAGGGATGTACATTCTTCTCTGCCCCAATCCGTGCATTGAATTTTGTATGTACATACATATATATCTTTTAAATATATAAATGGGTAAAATATTTAATTTTTTTCATTAAAAAATGTCTTGATGCACATCGAGTGCCACATAATGATGTTTCAATTAACAATGGTCTACATATACAATGGTAGTCACATAAGATTATAGTGGAGCTGCCCCATACAGGTATACCATTTTTATCTTTTATATCATATTTTTACTGTGCCTTTTATATTTATATATGTTTAGATACACAAATACTTACCATTGTGTTATAATTGCCTACAATATTCAGTACAGTGACATGCTGTATGAGTTTGCAGCCTAGGAGCAATATGCCATACCATATAGCCTACAGTGTATAGTAGGCTATACCATCTATTTGTGTAAGTACATGCTATGATGTCTGCACAATGACAAAAATCAACTAAGCACACATTTCTCAGAATACACCCCTGTCAAGTGACATATGACTGCATTGCTAAATATGTGTTCAAGCCATGGGTGTGTGAATATGTATATATTTTTAATATTCTATAATTGAGATGTATTATTTGGACATTCTAAAATTAGTGGACATTTTAGATATTTCCAATTTTTTGCCATCATATATAATACTGCATTGAACATCCTTTTGCACATATGTTTGTGCTTATGTAGAATTCTGGGGAAAGATTCCTAGTAGTGAACTTGTTAGGTCAAAACTTTTGTATGGCAATGTTTTTAATTCTTATTTCCACCACCTAAAATACCATATTTTGCTGATATACAATACAGATATGACACCATCAACATATGTGTTGGCCAATATTTCAGATATCAGATATCTAAGCTTCTTTTTACTAAATTATATTTGTGTCAGATTACAAATGAGAACAATGACTAATTTTTTCTTTGTTTAGTGCACATATTAGTGTATTGCAAAATCACCTTCTTAATAAAGTTTGTTTGATACCTTTAATGACATTTTACATAAAGCGAAGATCCTACCTGTCCTTAATTAATTTTCAGTCTATTTAACAAGATCCCCACTGATAACAGAATCTCAGTGAATTTGTTGTAAGAATTCAGGGAGTCACCTTGGACTTCCTGATAAGTGGTAAATCTAAACTTACCACCTCTTGGCCAAAAATTTATTGGTTTTGTGACATATACTTGTGGCTGCTGTATATGAGGCAGTTTGGTTTTAGGTTAAACAAATAATTTGGAATTCATACAAAGCTTTTACTTTTTAGCACAAATGTTTCATAGGAAAGACTGATGACAAATTGTGAAGGTATTATGGGTCTTCACCAGTGAAAGTATTTCTGTGGAATTTTTGAGTCTGCTGCATTCATTCCTTCTCCCATTCTCTTCTCCATGTTTCTGATATTTATATAGTCAGAAACCAACTATATGAATATCTAGTACTAATCATGCTTTAATATCAAATCTTTATCAGAATTGCTGGGGGTCATCAAATTTGGTAGGGAACATCAAAGCCTTGGTGCTCTTTTCTTATGCAGCTTGTTGCATTATTAATATGTGTCACCTGAAATTTTCTAACATACATATAACCTTTTGGAAACAAATTTAAATCCCTATTATAGCTAACATCATGCTTCAAGTTTCTAAAATTCAATAATTCCTTTGAAGTAGTTAAGAATGATAAAGAAAGAAAATTAATAGACTTTTTCTCTTATTAGAAAGAATAGGCTGTGTCAAGAAGGAAGCAAATGACAAATGAACAGCATGGGTATTGCAAAAGTTCTTTTTGGTTCTTTAATTATTTTTGTCATACACTTAGTTTAAAGGTCAAATAATCTGGTAGTTTTATAAGAAAAAAATCCCAGAACCACCCCCACCCAAACACACGTATTTCTTCTTTTCAGAAGCAATCCTTTCATCAATTTTCATATTTATTTTGAAATTAACCCCTATGTCCCTGAATCATATGCTTGATACGTCCTTTCATGATGTTCCTGTCTTAGGCTGTGCTTACTGACCAGAATAAAATTTTCTCTTTGGAAAAGAAAAATTTTAACTCTATTTTCTTTACTGTTACCTCTGAATGGTAACTTTTTTACTTTCATCCTCCAACATAATTTTATTTTATTTATATACATTTCATATTAATTTTGTATAAATATTTTGTGTTTATATAACTGTGCAAATACAATTTATGATATATGGATGTATTACCCCTGCTAATTTTTTTCCTACACACAGCTTTTATTTCTTGGTATTTATTGTTTTGTTGTTGGCCTCGTTGCTGCTGCCAATTATTTGGTGTACTATGTACTTTCTATGTACTTCTCAATAATTCAATCTCAATCTCATTGGCATATGTCTTGCTCATCTCCATACATTCGAATGTATCAGGTATGCTGTCAGTTTTATCTTTCCAAAGATATCTTTTCTCATATTGGAAGTCCAAAAATCCTGTATTTGAGAATAAAAGTCAGTTATTTTATTTGCTTATTTATTTTGCTGGAGGTGATGGATGTATAGACTTACTTATTATCAAATAGAGTTTCAACCGTTCTCCACTTTCAGAGGATGGTACCATCAATTTCTGAAAGTTTGGAAGATATGAATATAGAATTTATTTGGGGTAGGTGGGTGGGGGGGGTCTTTTAAATTCACTTATTTATTTTCTTTTGGTCCAAACTTTTGTTGCTATTCTCTTTTCTACAATCCTTCACATCTTTTTTTGAGTTTGTATATTTTAAAATTCCCTTTATTAGTGTTTTAATGGGTTTGGGGGGGGAATAAAATAAAATCATTATTTTTATTCAACAGCCCCTGAGATAGTTTCTTGTAATGAAAGAATTGACACCAACCTCAGTGGTTTGGGCTCAGCTATTATTTTTATTTAGCTATTTTCAGATTATAGAACCTGAGAATGTGAGGATATAGAATAGCTACTGCTCTAAACAGCATCCAGTCAGGCTATATTTGTGATGATCCTTTTCTTGCCTTCTTATCTGTTCCTAAAAACAGTAGGAAAAAAAATGAAGTTTGTAGCACTGAGTAATAGCAACAGAAGAAACAAGGGAAACATATTATGTCATCTGTGAACACTTCCAACATTTTATTTATATCACATCATAGTTCTAATCACATTGTAGAGAAAATTATCTCTTACCATATTTGCTTTCAGTTGAATGAGAGCTTCTCCAAGGACTTTCGCTTCCAATTTTCCATCTCTTGAACCTTGCACACTACTTGGCAGGAGGTTAGAGCACATTGAACGTGTCAGGCCTTCTTGCCTTGCTATAAAGAAGTAACCAGAACAGAGTAACTTATAAAGAAAAGAGGTTTAATTGGCTCATGGTTCTGCAGGTTGTACAGGAAGTGTGCTAGCATCTGCTTCTGGCTAGAGCCTCAGGGAACTTACAGTCATAGCAGAAGGTGAAGATGAACCAACACATCACATAGGGAAAGCAGGAAGAAGAGAACAAGTCAGGGGGTGCCACGCACTTTTAAACAACCAGATCTCATATGAACTCAGAGTAAGAACTATCTTACTATTTCTATCACAAGGACAGCATCAAGCTATTCATGAGGGATCCACCACTATGACAAAACCACCTCCCACCAGGCTCCACCGCCAACACTGGGGATTGCATTGCAACATGAGATTTGGAGGGGACAAACATCCAAACTGTATCACTGCATAATACTGAAGGAAAAAGATTGAATGGCTATCATTCCTACAAATATCACTTTCAGGGCTGTACCACTGTCATTTTTTAAGCAGCTGCTCGGTGCCCACTGATTTCGGCAGTGTCAACATATGCTGAAGTGCATTCACTTCATTTTAGCCGATTCATTCACTTCAAACTATTTAAAAACTGATGCAACTCACTGCATGGCTGGTTCAGATGTAACAATCATGTTTTGTTCTATGAATAATAAATGAATAGATGACATGATTCAATTAAGAATCTAGGATGAAATATTTTTGAGGAAGCAGTGAATGGAAGAAAATTATCCAAATATGACTGAACACCTGCTCAGTTTATAATTTTTCTTTCAAAGAAAGGAGTGGTTATTAGAAAAGCAAAGCTATAGAAGAGACAATAGAGAGAAAAAAGGGTAAAATGATTCAAAACAAAAAAAAAACAAAATTTCTGAGTGGTAATGTACTTTTAAAAAAAAAAATGGAAGGACAGAATTAGTGCTGCCAAAATGTACAAACTCTTTCTCCCCATTTTTTCTCCTTGTGTGTTCACAGAGGCTTTAAAAGTGAACAATATCTAAAACTTGGAATTACACCACAGTTTAATCTTGAGAAAAAATCATGAGGAAGGACATTTCTCCAGGTAGCTAAAATAAATGCTGGTGTTTGAGCTGGGAGCATTGATTACTCAGGGATTCAGCAAATGTATCTTAGACATATAGTGGATTCTTGGATAGGGGATACCACTGTGGATTCAATATTAACCATTACTTTTGTTTTCAAGAAGTTTGGCATTTTCTAATATGAGAAAAACAGACAGTGAGTATGCAAATATGCAGATAGATATAATAAATTTAAGTATGTATTAAGGGGAAAGGTGACTTAAAATTTTTCTGTCTCTTCTGCAGAGAAGAGCTCCTTGGGAAATTGTAGAGAGAGAACTTGGCAACATGTTTTTCTATTTCTTCTTGTTTTACTTTTAACAGCTTTATTGAGATATGCTTACATACAAAATAATTCCCCTATTATAAATGTACAATTTGATTATTTTAGAAAGTTACATACTTGTGCAACCTTCACCACAATCAAGTTTTGGAACACTTCTCTCACAACTTAAAAAAATCCCTTGTCCTTGTTTATAATCAATTGCAACTTCCATTCCCGGGAAGACACTGATAGGTTTTCTTTTTATATAAATTTGACTTTTCTGGAAATTTTACAGAAATAGAACAATACAATATGTAAACTTGCGTATTCACCTTCTCTCACTTAACATAATTTTCGAGGTTCATTCATGTGGTTGTATAATCGGGTTATTCCTTTTCACTGGTATTATTCCATTTCATGGTTATACTGCATTGTATTTATCCATTCAAAAATTAATAAATATTTGGATTTGTTCTGGTTTTGGCTATTGTGAATAATACAGTTATGAACATCTGTGCACATATCTTTGTATGGACATATATTTTTATTGCTCTTCTGCAAATACCTTGTAATGGAATTGCTTATTTGTAACTATCAAATAGTTTTTCAAAGGAACTGTACCATTTTACATTACCATAAAAAATGTTTGGTAGTTCTAGTTTTTTTCACATCTGTATTAAGTTCCTACTACTATTGTAACAAACTACCACAAGTTTAGTGGCATAAAAAATACAAATATATTATCTTAGAATTCTGAGTGTCAGCAGTTAAAATGGGTCTTTGGGGGCTAATCAAGGTGCTGGCAAAGCTGTCTTCTTTCCAGAAGCTCCAGTGGAAAAAATGATTTTGCCTTTGCCAGCTTCTAGCAGCTGCCAGCATTCCTTGACTCCTGACTGTACATCAGTCCAGCTTTTGCTTCCGTCATTCCATCTTCTTCTCTTACTGACTCTCCTGACTCCTTCCTATAAGGAACTTTGTGATTATATTGGGCCCAGCTAAAAAACCCAAGATAATTTTCCCATATTAAGATATTTAACTTTTTATCACACCTACAAAGTTCCTTTTGCCTTGTGAGATAACATGTAAGTCTCTAGGGATTACACATGGACATCTTGGAAGGTGATTCATTATTCTGCTGACCAAAACATCCTTGCCAATATTTGGTTTTGTCATTCTCTTTTATTATATCCATTTTCTGATTTCACTGTGGTTTTAATTTTTATTTCCCAAATGATTAATGATGTTAAACATATTTGTATGTGCTTATTAGCCATTTGTGTATTTTCCTTGATAAAATATTTATTAAAATATCTTGCCAAGTTTGGTTGGCTTCTTTGTCTTGTTGTTAAGTAGTAAGAGTTCCTTACATATTTTAGCCACAAATCTTTTATTAAATGTGTGATTTACAAATATTTCCTTATACTTTCTTACTTGCCTTTTAATTTTATTATTGGGTCTTTAGAATAGCAAATGTTTTAATTCTGTTAAAATTTGATTAAATTTGTCTTCTATGGGGCATGTTTTATATGTCTTATCTAAAAAGGTCTTTATTTTGTTTTATTTTATTTTATTTTAGGTTCAGGGGTAAATATGCAGGTTTGTAGCGTATGTAAATTGCACGTCACCAGGGTTTGATGTACAGATGGTAATAAGCATAGTACCCAACAGGTAGTTTTGGATCCTCACCCTCCTCCCACCCTCCACCCTAAAGAAGGCCACATGTCAATGTTTCTTCCCACTTATATGTGAGAACATGTGGTATTTGATTTTCTATTGCTGTGTTTGTACACTTAGGAAATGGCCTCCAGCTCCATCCATGTTGCTGCAAAAGACCTGATGTCATTCTTTTTTATGGTTGTGTAGTATTCCATGGTGTATATGTACCACATTTTCTTTATCCAGTCTACCATTGTTGGGCATTTACGTTGATTCCATGTCTTTGCTATTGTGAATAGTGCTGTGATGAACATAAATGTGCATGTGTCTTTATGGTAGAATGATTTATATTCCTTTGTGTGTATATCTAATAATGGAATTGCTGGGATGAATGGTAATTCTGCTTTGAGTTATTTGAGAAATTACCAAACTGTTTTCCACAGTGGTTGAACTAATTTACATTCCCATCAACACTGTATAAGCATTCCCTTTTCTCTGTAACCTCGCCAGCATCTGCTATTTTTTGACATTTTAATAATAGCCATTCTGACTGATGTGAGATGGTACCTCATTGTGGTTTTGATTTTCATTTCTCTAATGATTAAGGATGTTCAGAATGTTTTCATATGCTTGTTGGCTGTGTGTATGTCTTCTTTTGAGAAGTGTCTTAATGTCTTAATGTACTTTGCGCAATTTTAATGGGGTGGTTTGTTTTTGCTTGTATACTTGTTTAAGTTTCTTATAGATGCTGGAAATTAGACCTTTGTCAGATGCATAGTTTGTAAATATTTTCTCCCATTCTGTAGAGTGTGTGTTTACTCTGTTGATAACACAGAGTTTTGCTGTGCAGAAGCTCTTTAGTTTATTTGGGTAAATTTTTATTTTTGTTGCAATTGCTTTTGGCATCTTCATCATGAAATCTTTGCCAGGACTATGTCATAATGGTATTTCCTAGGTTATCTTCCAGAGTTTTTACAGTTTTAGGTTTTACATTTAAGTCTTTAATCCATCTTGTGTTGATTTTTGTAGATGGTGTAAGGAAGGGATTCAGTTTCAATCTTCTGCCTATGGGTGGCTAGTTATCCCAGCACCGTTTATGAAATAGAAAGTAGTTTCCCAGCCAGGCATGGTGGCTCAGGCCTGTAATGCCAGTACTTTGGGAGGCTGAGGTAGGTGGATCACCTGAGGTTAGGAATTCAAGACCAGCCTGGCCAACATGGTGAGACCCTGTTTCTACTAAAAAAAAAAAAAAAAAAAAAAAAAAAAAAATTAGCCAGGTGTGGTGGTGGGCACTTGTAATCCCAGCTACTCAGGAGGCTGAGACAGGAGAATCACTTGAACCCAGGAAGCAGAGGTTGCAGTGAGCCAAGATCACACCACTGCACTCCAGCCTGGGTGACAGAGTCAGACTGTGTCTCAAAAAAAAAAAAAGCCCTTTCCCTCATTGTTTTTGTGAATTTTTGTCAAAAATCAGAAAATCACATGGTTGTAGGATTGTGGCATTATCTCTGGGCTCTCTATTCTGTTCCATTGGTCTATTTTTACGTTTGTTTTTGTAACAATACCATGCTGTTTTGGTTACTGTAGCCTTGTAGTATAATTTGAAGTCAGATAACCTGATGCCTCTAGCTTTGTTGTTTTTACTTAGGATTATTTTGGCTATTGTATTAGTCAGGGTTATCTAGAGGAACAGAACTAATAGGATAATATATAAATATAATAAATATATATTATATATTTGTATATAAAGATAAATATATCTTCTATATTTATGTGTCCTATATATTTGTATATAATATATAAGCATATAAGATATATTAATATTTTATATATTATCCTATTAGTTATAAAGATATATAAATATGTTATATATTTTATATGTACATATATAAATATATGTTATATGTTATATTATGTTATGTAATATATGTTATATAAGTGTTATATATGTTATATATAAATATACAGCATATATTTATATATGATATAAATATACAGCATATATTTATATGTGATATAAATATACAGCATATATTTATATGTGATATAAATATACAGCATATATTTATATGTGATATAAATATACAGCATATATTTATATGTGATATAAATATACAGCATATATTTATATGTGATATAAAGATACAGCATATATTTATATGTGATATAAATATACAGCATATATTTATATGTGATATAAAGATACAGCATATATTTATATGTGATATAAAGATACAGCATATATTTATATGTGATATAAAGATACAGCATATATTTATATGTGATATAAAGATACAGCATATATTTATATGTGATATAAAGATACAGCATAGGCCGGGCACGGTGGCTCACGCCTGTAATCCCAGCACTTTGGGAGGCCGAGGCGGGTGGATCACGAGGTCAGGAGATCGAGACCATCCTGGCTAACACGGTGAAACCCCATCTCTACTAAAAATACAAAAAATTAGCCGGGCGTGGTAGCGGGCGCCTGTAGTCCCAGCTACTCGGGAGGCTGAGGCAGGAGAATGGCATGAACCCGGGAGGCGGAGCTTGCAGTGAGCCGAGATCGCGCCACTGCACTCCAGCCTGGGCGACAGAGCGAGACTCCGTCTCAAAAAAAAAAAAAAAAAAAGATACAGCATATATTTATATGTGATATAAAGATACAGCATATATTTATATGTGATATAAAGATACAGCATATATTTATATGTGATATAAAGATACAGCATATATTTATATGTGATATAAAGATACAGCATATATTTATATGTGATATAAAGATACAGCATATATTTATATGTGATATAAAGATACAGCATATATTTATATGTGATATAAAGATACAGCATATATTTATATGTGATATAAAGATACAGCATATATTTATATGTGATATAAAGATACAGCATATATTTATATGTGATATAAAGATACAGCATATATTTATATGTGATATAAAGATACAGCATATATTTATATGTGATATAAAGATACAGCATATATTTATATGTGATATAAAGATACAGCATATATTTATATGTGATATAAAGGTACAGCATATATTTATATGTGATATAAAGGTACAGCATATATTTATATGTGATATAAAGGTACAGCATATATTTATATGTGATATAAAGGTACAAGCATATATTTATATGTGATATAAAGATACAGCATATATTTATATGTGATATAAAGGTACAGCATATATTTATATGTGATATAAAGGTACAGCATATATTTATATGTGATATAAAGATACAGCATATATTTATATGTGATATAAAGATACAGCATATATTTTATGTGATATAAAGATACAGCATATATTTTATGTGATATAAAGATACAGCATATATTTTTATGTGATATAAAGATACAGCATGTATTTTTATGTGATATAAATATAAAGATATGTCTTTGTATATCTATCTATAAATATATCTATATATAGATATATATATAAAGGGGAGCTTATTAAGGAGTATTAACTCACATGATCACAAGGTCCCACAATAGGCCGTCTGCAATCTGAGGAGCAAGGAGTATCCAACTTCAACCATGGCTAAACGGGATCCAGTTACATGTCAGGTCACTGCCTCAAAGAATGTAAGCCATAAGCCTTAGCAGCTTCCACATGGTGTTCAGCCTGTGGGTGCAAAGAATGTAAGAGTTAAGGCTTGAGAGCCTCTTCCTAGGTTTCAGAGAATGTTTGAGAAAGCCTGGATGTCCAGGCAGAAGCCTGCTGCAGGGGTGAAGCCCTCACAGAGAACCTCTATTAGTACAGAGCAGAGGGGAAATATGAGGATGAAGCCCCCACACAGAGTTTCTACTGGGGCACTGCCTAGTGGAACTGTGAGAACAGGGCTATAATCCTCCAGACCCCAGCATGGTAGATCCACCAGCAGTTTGCACTATTAGCCTGGAAAAGCTGGAGGTACTAAATGCCAGCCCATGAGAGCTGTCACAGGGATTGATCTCTGCAAAGCCACAGGGCAGAGCTGCCCAAGGCCTTAGGGGCCCACCCCTTGCATCACTGTACCCTGAATGTGAGAAATTGAGTAAAAGATTATTTTGGAGCTTTAAGATTTAATGACTGTTCTGCTGGGTTTCGGACTTTTATGGAATCATAACCCCTTTCTTTTGGCCAATTTCTCCCATTTAGAAAGGGAGAATTTACCTAATGCCTATACCCTTATTGTATCTTGGAAATAACAAACTTGTTTTTAATTTTGCTGGCTCATAGGCAGAAGTGAATAGCCTTGTCTCAGATGAGACTTTGGACTGTAGACTTTTCAGTTAATGCTAGAATGAGTTAAGACTTTGGGGGACTGTTGGGAAGCCAGGATTGTAATTCAGGAGGGATCGGGGTAGGATGATATGGTTTGGCTCTGTGTCCTCACCCAAATCTCATTTTGAAATGCAATTTGCAATGCTAGAGGTGGGGCCTGGTAGGAATTGATTGGATCATGGAGATGATTTCTCATAGTTTAACACCATTACCCCTTGGTGCTGTCATTGTGATAGTGAGTTCTCATGAGACCTTGTCATTTAAAAGTGTGTGGCACCTCCCCCTACCCCTTGCTCCTGCTCCAGCCATGTAAGACAAGCCTGCTTCCCTTTCACCTTCTGCCATGACTCTAAGTTTTCTGAGGCCTCCCAAACACCAAGCAGATGGCCAGCATTATGGTTCATGTACTGCCTGCGGAACCATGATTCAATTAAGTCATTTTTCTTTGTAAATTACCCAATCTCAGGTATTTCTCTATAGCAATGGAAGAATGAACTAAACGATTTTTTTTGTAATTCTCATTTTAAAGATCTTTCACCTCCCTGGTTAGCTATATTTCTAGGCATGTAATTTTTTTATGGCTATTGTGAATGAGATTGTATTCTTGACTTGGCTCTCAGCTTTAATGTTGTTGGGGCATAGAAAATGCTACCAATTTTTGTACATTGATTTCGTATCTGAAGACTTTGCTAAAGTTTATAAGATCAAGGAGGTTTTGGGCAGAGACTATGGGGATTTCTAAGTATAGTATCATATCATCTGCAAACAGGAATAGTTTGATGTCTTCTCTTCCTGTTCAAATGCCTTTTATTTCTTTCTCTTAACTAATTGCTCTGTCTAGGACTTCCAGTATTATGTTGAATAGATTGGTGAAGGAAAGCATTCTTATCTTCTTCTGGATTTCAAGAAAAATGCTTCCAGCTTTTGCCCATTCAGTATAATATTGGCTGTGAGTTTTTCATAGATGGCTCTTAATATTTTGAAGTATGTTCCTTTAATGCCTAGTTTGTTAAGCGTTTTTAACATGAAGGAGTGTTGAGTTTTATCAAAAGCCTTTTCTGAATCTTTTGAGATGATCATGCGGTTTTTGTTTTTGGTCCTGTTTTTGTGATGATCACACTTATTTATTTGCATATGTTGAACCAACCTTGCATCCCAAAGATAAAGCCTACTTTATCGTGGTGGATAAGCTTTTTGATGTGCTGCTGGATTTGGTTTGCTAGTATTTCAGTTAGGATGTTTGCATCTACGCTCATCAAGGATATTGGCCTGAAGTTTTCTTTGTGTGTGTGTGTGTGTGTGTGTGTGTGTGTGTGTGTCTCTGCCAAGTTTTGGTATCAGAGTGATTCTGGTCTCATTGATTAAGTTAGGGAAGATTCCCTCCTCCTCAATTTTTTGCAATAGTTTTAGTAAGAACTGTTGCCAGGTCTTCTTTATACATTGGGTAGAATTCAGCTGTGAATCCCTCTGGTCTTGGGCTTTTTCTGGTTGGTAGGCTTTTTGTTAGTGATTCCATTTTGAAACTCATTATTGGTCTGTTTAGAGATTCAAATTCTTCCTGGTTCAATCTTGAGAGGGTATATATGTCCAGAAATATTTCTATTTCTTCTAGGTTTTCTAGCTTGTGTGCATGGAAGTGTTCATAGTAGTCTTTGAAGGTTTTTCGTATTTCTGTGGGGTCAGTGGTAATGCTTCCTTTGTCATGTCTAATTGTGTTTATTGGGATCTTCTCTTCTCTTTTTTTCATTATTCTAGCTAGTGGTCTATTTATCTTATTAAATCTTTCAAAAAATCAACTTCTCGATTTGCTGATCTTTTGTGTCTGTTTTTTTTAATCTCGGTTTCCTTTAATTCAGTTCTGATTTTATTTCTTTCTTTTCTAGCTTTGAGGTTGGTTTGTTCTTATTTCTCTAGTTCCTCTAGTTGTGATATTAAGTTGTTAATTTGAGATCTTTATAACTTTTTTATGTGGATGTTAAGTGCTATAAACTTCCCTCTTAACACTGCCTTGGCTATGTTCCAGGGATTCTGGTATAATGTATTTTTGTTCCCATTAGTTTCAAAGAGTTACTTAGTTTCTGCCTTAATTTCATTATTTATCCAAAAATCATTCAGGAGCAGATTGTTTAATTTCCATGTAATTATATGGTTTTAAGTGAGTTTATAAGTATTGATTTCTATTTTTATTGTGCTGTGGTCCTGTGGTCTGAGAGTATGGTTAGTATGACTTTGGTTTTTTGTTTGTTTGTTTGTTTTTAATTTGCTGAGGATTGTTTTATGTCCAATTGAGTGGTCAATTGTATAGTATGTGCCATGTGGTGATGAGAAGAATGTGTATTCTATTTTCTTTGGATGGAGTATTCTGTAAATATTTATTAGGTCCATGTAATCAAGTGTCGAGTTCAAATCCTGAATACCTTTATTAGTTTTGTGCCTCAGTGATCTGTCTAATATTGCCCATGGGGGTATTGAAGTCTCCTACTATTATTGTGTGGTTTTCTAAGAACTTGCTGTATGAATCTCGGTATTCCTGTTTTGGATGCATAGTTTAGGTTAGTTAGATATCCTTATTGAATTAAGCATTTTACCATTACATAGTGCCCTTATTTGTCTTAAGAAGATTTTTCACCAACCCAATGTCAAAAACTTTTCTTCATTATTTCCTTCTAAAACTTTTATACTTCGAATTCTTGTGTCTAGATCCATTTTGAGTAAAATTTTTGTGTGGTGCTTGAAATGGTAGTAAGTTAACTTTATTTTAATGGATGTCTTATTGTTTCAGTACCTTTTGTTGATAAAATAATCATTTCTCCATTGAATCACCTTGACCCCTGTGTCAAAATTCAATTCACCATAAATGTGAGTTTATTTATAGATTCTCTATTTTGCTATAATGATCCATATAATCCTTATGACCATACCACACTGTCTTGATTATTGTAGCTTTGTACTAAGTTAGGATCTCACTCTGTCACCTAAGTGACATCTTGGCTCACTGCAGCCTTGACTTCCCAGGCTCAAGCGATCCTCCCACCTTAGCCTCCCAAGTAGCTGGGACCATGAATGCACCTCACCATGCCAGGCTAGTTTTTTTTTTTTTTTTTTTTTGGTATTTTTTGTAGAGATGGGGTTTTGCCACCTTGCCCAGGCTGGTCTCAAACTCCTGATCTCAAGAAATCCACCCATGATGGCCTCCCAAACGCTGGGATTATAGGCATGAGCCACCATGACTGGCCAATGTGCATTCTTTATGTTCTTCTTTTTCAAAATTGTCTGTTTTAAGTTATTTGAATGTTCATATAAATTCTATGATTAGCTTGTTGATTTATCAAGAAAAAAATGGATGGGACTTGGGTAATGATTTCATTGAGTCTATAGATCCATTAGTGAGGGGATTGTCATTTTACCATTATTGAAACTTCCAGTCCATGAATATAATACATCTCTGCATTTATTTAGTTTTTTAAAAAATTTTCTCAATAAAATATTGTTGTTTCAATGTACAGGTCTTGTGATGCTTTTGTTCAATTTATTTTATTCCTTTGATGCAATTGTGAATGCAATTTTCTTAATTTCATTTTTGGATAATTTTTACTAGTATATATATGTGTATAAGTTTGCATATATTAATCTTGTGTCCAGTGACCTTGCTAAACATATAATAAATAATTGGTTCTAATATTTTTTGGATATCTATTTCTTAGGATTTTTTCAAGATTATGTCATGTGTGACTAAAGAAAATTTGGATTTCGTTTTCTCGCCTTGTTTCACTGAGAAGAATCCAATATACAATGTTGATAGAAGTGATAAGGGCAGATATCCTTGTATTATTCCCAATTTTATGTAGAACATATTGAGTCTTTCACCATTAAGTATGATGTTGCATATAGAGTTTTTTTCAGATGCCCATTTGTCAAGTTAAGGAAGTTGCCTTTGACGTTTTTGGAGGTTTTTTGTTTTTTTAATCTTTAATGAGTTTTAGATTTTGTCAAATGCTTTTTCTGCATCTATTTTAATAGTCACTTTTTGGTCTATTATTCTATTAATATTGTAAATTATATTAATTTACTTCTGGCTGTTACACCAACCTTGTATTCCTGGGATAAATATCACTTGCTCATGGTATATAATCTTTTTTATGTTTCTGGATTCAGTTTGCTAATTTTTTAAAAAGACATCAACATCTATTTTTATAAGGGATTTTGAACTGTGTTTTTTTCTTCTGAAATATCTTTGGTATTGGGGTAATATTAGCCTCATAAAATGGATGAAAATTGTTCCTTGCCATTCTATTTCTGAAAGAGTTTGTGTAGTATTAATATTATTTCTTCCTTAGCAGTCTCTTCTGGGCCTGGACTATTTTTTTATTGGAACATTAGGGTTCTGGGTCTTTACTTGGCATATATTTATTAATTCCACTTTTCTCTATTTCTCTTTAAGAAAGTTTTGGTAATTTGTGTCTTTCTAGGAATTTGTCCATGTTATCTAGTTTGTTCAATTTGTTGGCGTACCGTTGTTAATGATACTCCCTTAATATTTTCTTTTAATTTCTGTAAGGTCTGTAGTGATGTTCCTCCTGTATTACTGATTTTGAAAGTCCATGTCTTCTATTTCTCTTGATCAGTCTAACAAAAGTTTATTAAGTTTGTTGGTTCTTTTCAAAGAATCATCTTTTGGTTTGATTGGCTTTATCTGTTTTCTCCTTTCTTAGCTATATTTTCACCTTATTATATAATTCTTTCTACTTACTTTGGGTTTATTTGCTCTTTTTTTCCCCTAGCTTCTTGTTATGAAAGCCTGCAGCTGTCATTACACATATGTTTATTTGCTTTATGGAATATAAAACATTTCTGAGACTCTGTTCATTTTTTTCAGCTTTTTTCATTGTTTTTTAGTTGAATTATTTCTATTGATCTACTTTCCAGTCCTGTTTTTATCTTCTGTGATTTCAAATATGCTATTGAACCCATCTTGTGAATTTTTCATTACAGTTATTATACTTTTAAGCTCTAAATTATACTTTGGTTTTTCTTCATACTTTCTATTTCTCTATTGAGATTCTCTATGTATAGAGTCATAATCATCACCTTTTCTTTTTATTTTTGAACACAGTTTTCTTTACTCCTTTGCAAATATTTGTAATGAACACTTCGAAGTTTCCCACTGTATTTATCTGAAACATTACCAGATTTTCAAGAATAAACAATTCTTGATTTGTTGTCTGCCTTTGGTTAAACTTAAGACCATACATAGTTACTTTTGTCAGCTTTTTCCAACTTTATTCTAATTTTTTTATGAAGAGGATTTGCTGACCTCTTCATGCTACAACAGTAACAGAAGTTCTAATATATTTCTTACCGGTTAATGTAACTCATGATTTACTCTATGTTTGATTTGACTCCATTTTTTTGTTATTTTTAATTTTTTCAGGCATCCCCCAAACCAGAATAGGTTTAGAGAGATTCCAAGACTTTTTCTGGTTCAACTTGACACTTTAGTCTACCTTATAAGCCTAAAAAAAAAAAAGAAGAAGATCCTTCTCTGTAGTCTTGATTACTAAACAGTAGCATTGACTATAGCAGCAGTCCCCAACCTTTTTGACACCAGAGACTGGTTTTGTGGAAGACAATTTTTTCATGGGCCAGGGTGGGGAGATGGTTTCAAGATGATTCTAGTGCATTATATATACTGTACGCTTTATTTCTATTATTATTACATTGTAATGTATAATGAAATAATTATACAATTCACCATAATGTAGAATCAGTGGGAGCCCTGAGCTTGTTTTCTGGCAACTAGATGGTCTCATCTAGGGGTGATGGGAGACAGTGACAGATCATCAGGCATTAGATTGTCATAAGGAGGGCACAGCCTAGATCCTTCACATGTGCAGTTTACAATAGGATTTGTACTCCTATAGGGATCTAATACTGTCACCGATCTGACAGAAGGCAGAGCTCAGGTGGTAATGCAAGTGATGGGGAGCAGCTGTAAATACAGATGAGGCTTCACTTGCTCACCCACCACTTACCTTCTTCTGTGTGGAAAAAACAATTCCTAACAGGCCATGGACTGGTACTGGTCCATAGCCTGGGGGTTGGGGACCCCTGGGCTATAGAATAACAATTATATAGCCAAATCAATCCTCTAGTATTTTATCTATAAAAGTGACTGAGTGTTTTCATTGCACCCAGGGACTATATTTATATAATGAAGACTCGGAGTTATTTATCCAACTCTGTCATGGTAGTATTATAAATATTAAGTAACAAATGATTGAAAAATGACATTGCTAAATATAAACTGGTAGGAGAAGCATTAAATAATTCTTGAAACAGTGCTTATACATCAAGAATGCTCATTTCCTCTAACTCTGCAAAATGTTTAATTGAATCTGTTATTTTCTTTCCAGAATTGTATAAAATACATGGTATTTGGTTTTAATCATACAATTTAACTTCTTGGACCACCAACTGAGGAGATAAACTCTTTGGAAATATGATAAAGAGGAAACAGAAAAACACAATGGAGGTAATAATCAGCAGCATGGCATATTTAGGAACCCATTGCAGAGTTCTATTTTATTACTGTGCCATGGATCACTGTCCTTTTAAAAAACATTTATAGAGACATTTAATAAATTATTTGAATTAGGAGGATTCTATATTATCATCCGTCATCCCTAGTGGGCCCTACTGAAACCCCTGTACTACAACTATAACAAATTACTTTCTCCTCAAATAATACAGAATCTTATTTAAAATTATGTGTGTTCGTATCTTTTTATATCATAAACAACTTCCTGATGGACGGGAACAAATGCTGTCAAACCTACTTTTCTAAAGCATCTAACACAGTGCCATATAAAATTGAGTGCTTTATTCTTTTCTGATAATGATACATTTAACAATACCTTCCTGTAGAAACGTAAGCACATATATATAGATGAGTTACTTTATCCGCAACAGCGTCATTATGAAGCACACAAAGAATTCTGGGTGAGAGAATCTGACGTTGTTTCTAATTGGTAATCGAGATTATAGCTGAGATTCAGCCTGGGGATGTTAAATAAAATACGTGAGTACTAGCTCAGGGATGTAAACATGTGGGCAAAGCTGAGGTTTTACTTTTTTTTTTTTTTTTTTTTTTTTTGAGACGGAGTCTCGCTCAGTCACCCAGGCTGGAGTGCAGTGGAGCGATCTCGGCTCACTGCAAGCTCCGCCTCCGGGGTTCACACCATTCTCCTACCTCAGCCTTCCGAGTAGCTGGGACTACAGGTGTCCACCACCATGCCTGGCTAATTTTTTTGTATTTTTAGTAGAGACGGGGTTTCACCGTGTTAGCCAGGATGGTCTCGATCTCCTGACCTCATGATCCGCCCGCCTCGGCCTCCCAAAGTGCTGGGATTACAGGCGTGAGCCACTGCACCCAGACGAGGTTTTTCTTTTAGTCAAATATAAGGACAGAGTAGGGATACAGTCAAGCAGAATGAAACTAAGATACAATTCATGGCAAAAACAAACAAACAAACAAACAAAACAACTAGATGATATACAAGGCAAAACTGAGTCCAGGATTCAGACAAGGATCAGCCATCAGCAAGTGAAAGGCTGTAGGTGGAGATACAGGCAGTGGATGATTTGGGAGATTTGACAGCGTGTGCCAGAGTCTTTAGTAACTGAGATTTAGGGCCAGGAAAATTAGCCCCTGGGGATATTCTTAGACTAAGGTGATTGGAATTAGCCAGGGGCTTTGTTAATTGAGGAATTATGGAACAGGACGAATGAGGTTTGTGATGAGAATAATTTGATCTGAGCCAAGTATCAGATTTTTGTTTTAATTCTAAGCTCCAGTGATTTTATTGAAGACATATCTGGTTTTTTATTTTTTTAAAGACTTTTTAAATATAAAGTAGTTTTAGGTTTATGGCAAAATTAAGAGGAAGGTGCAGAAATTTTCCATATATCCCCTGCCCCAATATATGTATAGCCATCCCAATTATCAACATCCTCCACCAGAGTAGTGCCTTTGTTACAACTGATGAATCTACATTGACACATTATCACTGAAAGACCATATTTACATTAGGGCTCACTCTTGGTATTGGTGTTGTACATTTTATGAGCATGAACAAATATATAATGACATGTATCCACCATTATATAATCATGCAGAACATTTTCACTGCCCCAAGAATACTCTGTGTTTCACCTATTAGCCCCTTCCTCCTCTTGTAGCCCCCAGAAACTATTGATCTTTATACTGCCTAGGTAGTTTTGACTTCTACAAAATGTCATATAGTTGGAATCATACAATATGTAGCCTTTTCAGATTGGCTCCTTTTACTTAGTAATATGCATTTAAATTTCCATTATTTTCATGAGTTAATAGGTCACTTCTTTTTAGTACTGAATAATGTTCAATTGTGTGGATGCAATGCAATTTATTTGCCCATTCACCTACTGAAGGTTTCTTCCAAGTTTTGGCAGTTATAGATTAAGGTGCTATAAACAACCCTGTACAGGTTTTTGCATGGGCATGTTTTCAACTCCTTTGGGTAAATACCAAGGAGTGCTATTGCTAGATCATATTATAAAAGTGGGTTTAGCTTTGCAAAAGCTGACAAACTGTATTCCAAAGTAGCTGTACAATTTTGCATTCCCACAATCAATGAATGACAGTTTCTGTTGCTTCATGTTTTTTTGTCAGCATTTGGTGTTGTCAGTGTTCTGAATTTTGGCCTTTCTAGTACTGGAGGTGTATAGTGACATCTCACTGTTGTTTTAACTTGCATTTCCCTGCTGATATATGACATGGAGCATCTTTTCGTATGTGTCTCTGTGCATCTTCTTTGGTGAAGTACCTGTTAAGGTCCCTGGCCTCCTTTTTAATTAGGTTGTTTGTTTCCTTATTGTTGAGTTTTAAGAATTCTTTGTATATTTTGCATAATAGTCATTGATTGTCTTTTGGAAGTATTTTCTTCCATTTTGTGACTTCTTTTTTATTTTCTTGACACTATATGTCTCAGAGCAGAAAATTTTAATTTCAAAGAACTTCAGCTTATCAATTGTTTCTTTCGTGAATCTTGCCTTTGCTATTGTATCTAAAAAAGCCATCACCAAATCTATATCTACATTTTTCTCCTGTTATCTTATAGGATTTTTAGAGTTTTGCATTTTATATTTAAGTCTTTGAGTTAATTTTTGTAAAGGATGAAAAGGTCTGTGTCTATATTCTTTTTTTTTTTTTACATGTGGACATGCACTTGTTCCAGCACCATTCATTGAAAAGATTATCTTTGCTTCATTATATTTCTTTTTCTCTTTCATCAAAGATCAATTGGCTGTATTTATGTGGATCTACCTCTGAGTTCTCCATTTTAATCCATTGATTGATTTTTCTATTCTTTCACCAATACCACAATGTCCCACTATATGTAGTTTTATAGTAAATCTCGAGGTAAGGCAGCGTCAGTCACCAATGTTGTTCTTCAATATTGTGTTGAATATTCTGGGTTTTAGCTTCTCTGTATAAACTTTAAAATCAGTTTGTCAATATCCAAATATATATATTCTGGGATTTTGATTGGAACTGCATTCTATCTATAGATCGAGCTGGGAAAAGCTGACGTCTTGACAGTACTCATATTAAGCCTTTCTATTCACAAACATGGAATATCTCTCCATTTATTTAATTTTTTGATTTCTTTCATCAGTTTTATAGTTTTTCTCATATAAACCTTATACATATGTTGTTAGATTTATGCCTAAATATTTTATTTTCTTGGATACTAATGTAAATGGTAGCATGTTCTTAATTTTAAATTCTACTTGTTCAATGCTATCATATAGAGAAGAATCAACTTTTTTTTTTTTTTTTTTTTTTTTGACAGAGTCTTGCTCTGTCACCCAGGCTGGAGTGCAGTGGCATAGTGCACTGGAGTGCACTGGAGTGCAGTGATCTCGGCTCACTGCAACCTCCGCCTCCAGGGTTCAAACGATTCTCCTGCCTCAGCCTCCCATGTAGCTGGGATTACAGGCACATGCCACCATGCCCGGCTAAGTTTTGTATTTTTAGTAAAGACCGGGTTTCGCCATGTTGGCCAGGCTGGTCTTGAACTCCTGACCTCAGGTGATCCACCCACCTCGGCCTCCTAAAGTGCTGGGATTACAGGTGTGAACCACTGCACCTGGCCGCAGTTGACTTTTATATATTAATCTTGTATCCTGTAACCTTGCTAGATTCACTTATTAGTTCCAGGAGGTTTTGTAGTTGTTGATTCCTTTGGATTTTCTACATAAATAATCATGTCATCAGTGAACAAAGTTTTACTTTTTCCTTCCCAATCAATATACCTTTTCTTTTCTTTTTTTTTTTGTTTGTTGCAGTAGGTAGAGTTTCCTTCACTTTTAAAGGATAATTTCACCAGGTACAAAATTCTACGTTGTTGCTTTTTTCTCTTAACACTTTATTTCACTCCATTCTCATCTTACTTGAATGATTTCTGAGAAGCAAGGTGTCATTTTTAGCTGTGATTCTGTATAGGTAAGGTGTTTTTTCCCCTCTGGCTTCTTTCAGGATTTTTCCTTTACCTTTGATTTTCTGTAATTTGAATATGATATGTCTGGGTGTAGGTTTTTTTGACATTTATTCTCCTTGGTGTTCTATGTACTTTCTGTATCTATGGATTGATATCTGACATTAATTTGGGGGAAATTCTCAGTTGTTATTGTTTCAAGTATTTCTTCTGTTCCTTTCTTCTAATTTTGGTATTCCCATTAAACATGTGTTATACCATTTGTTGTTGTCCCACAGTTCTGGGATATTCTGTTCTTTTTTCTTTTTCAGTCTTTTGCTCTTTGTTTTTCAGTTTTGGAGGTTTCTATTGAGACATCCTCAAACACAGAGATTCTTTCTTCTACTGTGTCTAATCTACTAATAAGCCCATCAAAAGTATTCATTTCTGTTACAGTACTTTTTTTTAAAATCTCTAGCATTTCTTTTTGGTTATTTCTTTGAATTTCTATCTCTGCATACGTTGCCCATCTGGTTCTTGCATTCTGTCTACTTTATTCATTAGAACCCTTAGTATATTAATCATTGTTGTTTTAAATTCCCTGTGTGATAATTACAACATTTTTGCATATACGAATCTTGTTCTGAAACTTGCTCTGTCTCCTCACACTGGGTTTTTCTGTTCTGTAGGTTTTTGCTTGTTTGTTTGTTTTAGGGCAGACCTTGTTGAGAAGAACAGAATGCTCTGGCATATTTCAAACTACTCCTTTTCTCCTCTCCATTTCAGAAGCATGATGGAATCTTTTTTTCTCATATATGTTCTGAGAATTAAGTTGAACCCCTGGAGGCAAAACTTACAAATTTGTTGGGGCCCTTCTATGATAGTCTCCCTGTAGTTTTTAATTCCCAGAGTTATCCACATTGAGTCCCCAGCAATTTTCTATTACAATTTAGGCTTCCCAAACCCAGCACTGAATCCCATGAAGATTGTTGCTTGTGGTTTTCTGCTGTGGTAAATTTTCATTCTCATATTTGACTATCTCTCTCTTCAACTTTTGGGGCAGCAATTTTCTCTGCATCCTCACTTCTCTTACAGATCTTTGATTTTTCAATTTGTCCAGCATTTTACTTGGTAGGATAGAGTGGCAGGTTCTGAGCTGCTTGCTGCTGGGCTGAAACCAGAAATACTTTCAAGTAGGTTCGCTTTAAGTAGTTTGAAGGCGAATTTGTTGGCCCAGTCAACCAAGCAGGTTAGGTTATAAGCACTATAATCTAATTTTCTCCACATTTTCTAAGTTCAGTCTACTTCATAGTATTCAGTTCATCTTTCCAGCCAGTGTCATATATGTTGTATTTCAAAGAGTATTTTTGGCATTACTCGATCTCATTATACCAGGATCTTAAAGTAAAACTTAGGTCATTTATCCCACTAAATACCACATATTTTTGTGTTAATGCCGATAGGATATCCAGTCATTTCATTAAAGGGTAAAAGGGACTTTGGGAAAATATATTTGAGGCTAAATGTATAAACCTAATTGTCTTATAAAAGCTTTTATATCAATTTATCTTACTTAAATGTGAAATTTCACTTGTTTAGATAGCATTTTTTCATTCCTCCTTGTTTTGGCTTAAAAACTGGTTCATTTTTAAAAGCATCCTGCATCTTAAAATTTTAAAAATTTGTGGTAAAATTGTTTAAGAGATTTAATTTTAAATTTCTAAAATATTAGAGTACATATTAAGATTCTGAAAGAACTAATTGTTTGCCATATTTTTAGAAAAATAGAATTGAAACTTTAATAACGATAACATCATTTGTTCTCGTCATCTCCTTTTTGCTTGTGTTTGCCAATCTTTTGGACCTTTCCTTTATGATTTAAAATTGCTTGAGGTGTCTAAAGAATATGGTTGCTTCATCAAGATTAATAAATATGACTGAATTCAAGGGACCACTGGTTTACTTGGCTCCATTAATGGAGTTAAGATTCACTCATTTAGTCCATTCATGGAATTGGGGCAGATTTAGCAGAACTATAAACCCTTATGAGGAAGATTATGAAATGACCATGAAAATGAAACAGCTTCTACAAAAAGGCAGAACAAAAAATCTAAAATTTTTAGTATGGAGTGATAAAGCTCAGAGGTCATATTATCAAACTCCCAGCCTTTGATATTAACTTCCTTTCCTAAGAAAAGGATCTTCTAAGGACAGGGAAGAAAGAATCCCCTCTTATTTTCTGCACCATCCCGTCAGGCCCTCTAGAATGAAATATTCTTCTGGTGTCCTAGTCAGGCCAGAAAGTGTGAGCTTCTGGGAATGAGGAAAAGAGATTGTTCTTAACTCCACAAGAGGAAAGCTCATAGTTTTAGCCATATGGGTTTCTATTTCAAAGGAGAAAGGCCTCAGGTCATTCTCAGCTTCTCTTGTGGTCCTCAACAAGCTATCCCTGGCCTTCATCTGCCCTTTTTCTGCAGTATACCTGAGCCACTTCCTTATGTCTTACATAGGACAGTTGTCAGTCTTGGATGGATTTCAGGTGTTCCTGGCAGCAGTCACCTCCTTCATTTACATTCTGCCTGGTATTGCCTACCCTGTAAATAAGGCTCCTGACATGAGCAGTTTTTCACTGTTTTACACCATCGCCTACCTCTGGTACCCTCTTTGACAGTGTGCAGGTAAGATGTCTGGTGGTACCCAGCCTGTTCATACCAGAGAAGAACCAAGTACATAAAAACAGTGTGAATTTGGACTTAAGATCCGAAATGTAGGCATTCTTGAAGCTGAAAGGAGACAACACTTAATAACACCACCATTAACAATGATTCTATAAGAAAATAATCACTACTTTGCACAGTCAGTAGTAAATAATGAAGTTACTGCTTTAACAGTTTGTCCAAAAGGAGCTTTATATTTGTATGTACATTCAGAAGAGTTTTTATTAAATTTATGGTTAAACACATATAATGATTGTTAAAGGGAAATGAAAGGTTTCCAAAAATATTTCTGACCTCTGGAAGTTGAATTCATGAAGAAGAATTGCTATAATCTCTCTAAACCTTCTCTTAAGCCTCATGTGAGATGGAATTTTGACCTGCATTAATCACTACTCTTACCCACATGAAATGTTTCATTTCTCATGAGTCCATATATCAAACAACTGGGAAGGCTGATAGTGCTGGAACTAATACCTTAGGTGTCTAACACAACAGTCACACAGAAAAGACACTCTTAACAGCACAACACTGCTGAGGCCCTGAGTGTGTTTGTTCCACTAGGTTCCTAAGAGAAGTAATCAAGAGACCAGAATAAAAAATATCTTACTCACATTGTCTTTCAAAACTTATTATAGGAACTGGGACACTCATCTCTGTAAACAGATGATGCTATACTCATTCTGAGCCTTGATTCCATTACTTTACCTGAGAAGAAGCACCAATATCATTGTACAATGATATTGTGATTGATTATCAGGAAATATAAAAAGAGAGAAAATAGAAACCCTTTAAGCATTGAGTCAAATAGTTATCTGTCGTACAGTACTCGTCTCTGGACTACCTCAAAGTCTTATGTAGTATGTGAAAACAAAATAAAATATCAGGACCCCATTCGCTGTGCCAAAAGGAAAAAACTAAGCTGAAAGCTGAGTCATGCAAGAAACTGCCTTTTGTTTTGTTCCTACGCAGGTAGCTACATAGATAAAAGGCCAAATATCTCCACAGGTAGCTACTCTATGTTCGACTTATCTTACTGAATGCTGAACTGAAGACGAGTTCATAATTGACTATTTCCCTACCTGCTCCTTTTCTCTTGCAACATTTGGATTCATTAATGTGACCAGACCTTCCATCTTTCCCTTCCAACCCACTTTTTCCCTTTAAATATTGAAGCTTTCAAAATAATCTTTGGAGAAAGGCACAGACCACAGACTGTTACTGTGATTCTGTGTTCCTTTCTTCTGGGCATGTACTTAACCTTGGCAAAATAAACTTCTTTTTTTTTTTTTTTGAGATGGAGTTTCACTCTGTCACCCAGGCTGGAGTGCAGTAGTGCAATCTTGGCTCACTACAACCTCTGCTGCCTGGGTTCAAGTGATTCTCCTGCCTCAGCCTCCCAAGTAGCTAGGATTACAGGTGCCTGCCACCGCACCCAGCTAAATTTTTTTGTAGTTGTTAGTAGAGACAGGGTTTTACCGTCTTGGCCAGGCTGGTCTTGAACTCCTGACCTCGTGATCCACCTGCCTCAGCCTCCCAAAGTGATGGGATTACAGGCATTGAGACCTGTTTCAGATAATTTTTGGTTTACATGTTTATATTATGTACTGCATAAGATTTTGTGGTGTGTGTGTGTGTATGCATATACTGTAGTATCTATATATTTTACAAAATAACATTATAGAGAATGAGAATTCTAAGCATTATTACAATAACTGGTAGATTATTATCCTTTCAAACTACTAGCATAGACATTTAAAAATAACATCTATTTACTTTTTCTAAAGTTCAGTATGTCCCTTTATATGGAGCACAGACCTTTTCTTAAGAATATTAGAATAATTTTAATTATTTGAATAATTTTTATTAAACTTAAACTGTTGAGAAATTCATTTTTGACTTCATATATCTATGAATATTAAAGTGATTGTGTTACTTTTATTATCAGCAAAAACAGATTTCCATTTTGAAAGTGACAACCGATACATTCTTACAAACCAAATAGGAGAGAATTTGACATGTTACTGTTAGGAAGAGTGTCTAATCTGTATTAGACAGATGTGGGAAACAGAAGGACAAAATGTAAGAATTAAAATACCTCAGTTTGAGTGTCCAAATATGTCAAAAAACTATCTGCTCTTTCTGATGGTTGATTTCCTAGTTATACATACAGTAATTTGTTTTCTTTATGATATCATGCCTTTATTTTCAGAACAGAATGACTCACGCAGAAACTTCTGTTAATTAGGACTTAAAAGTCATTGGATTGTGCCTTTAAGCAATGTGATAAAAAATGACCAAGAGCCTAAGGATACATAACTATTTATCCACTGATCACAATATTTGTAGTTAAATTTTCCACTTTGACTTAATATAAGGAGGTAATGTCACATGGCTATTTACATTTAAATCATTGAGAACATGGTGTTTCTTAATATTTAAAAGGATTTGAATTGAAAAAAATAGTTTGTGAAGGGTATGTAAGCTATTTATTTTCCTCTCAAAAGATGTTTCCTAATATAAGGTATGTGTTAAATATTTGCCTCCCTGGAATTTAAATAATTAATTTAACACCAGTGGAATCAGTCAATTGGTTAATCTAGCTAGTTCATTTTTATTTTATGTAGAAATATGTATATTCGTAAGTGTACCTATTACTTTAGGGAAATTAAAAAGGAATTAAATTATCAACACAGTTTAGAGTAGTACTTAAAACCCTGAGTTAAATTTTGGAAAATCTAAAAGAGATATAATCAAAAGATAATTTGGAGACATCTTGGCTTTTTTTTTTTTTTTTTTTTTTGAGACGGAGTCTCGCTCTGTCGCCCAGGCCGGACTGCGGACTGCAGTGGCGCAATCTCGGCTCACTGCAAGCTCCGCCTCCCGGGTTCACGCCATTCTCCTGCCTCAGCCTCCCGAGTAGCTGGGACTACAGGCGCCCGCCACCGCGCCCGGCTAATTTTTTGTATTTTTAGTAGAGACGGGGTTTCACCTTGTTAGCCAGGATGGTCTCGATCTCCTGACCTCATGATCCACCCGCCTCGGCCTCCCAAAGTGCTGGGATTACAGGCGTGAGCCACCGCGCCCGGCCGACATCTTGGCTTTAAGAAATTTGTTTTGATGCCTTATAAAGGCACCAGGTTCCAGTTTTCAGTAAGAAAGGACATTGGTGGTTTTTTGTTTGTTTGTTTGTTTTTTGGTGTGTTGTGTCTTTGGATTTGTTAATTTTCTAGTCAGAGCTGTTAGCCAGGAAAAAATATAAAAAGTTCTATGCTTCTGGGGAAAGACACAAAAGATAGTTTCTCATTCAGTTGTATGTACTTGGGTGAAATTGTTCAGGTTGTAAAATATATCTTAAGAAATGAAGTCAGGTGCTGTGGCTCATGCCTGGTAATCCCAGCAATTTGGGAGGCTGAGGCAGGAGGATTGAATCCAAGAGATCAAGACCAGCGTGAGCAATATAGCAGTGACTGGTCTAAAAAATAAATAAATAAATAAATAACCAGGTGTGGTAGTGTGTGCCTGTAGTGCACTGAGATGGGAGGATCACATGAGCCCAGGAGTTTGAGGCTGTAGTGTGCTCTGATCACACCACTGTACACCAGCCTGGGGGACAGAGCAAGACCTTGTCTCCAAGAGAAAAAGAAATGTATACAGAAAGGGAAATTTACTTCACCAATCTTAACATTTTCCATGTTGATCCTATATTCATATTCTTTCCTACACATCAAAATAGTGTTTATTTAGATGCTGCTTCAAAAAAAAGCACTTATTAAAAACTTTTATAGGAATAATATTTACCCCTTTGAAATTTGTTTTCTGAAAATGGTATAAAGAATTTAGCTTATAAATGACAACAAACATGTACATCCTTATAACATCAAAAAAGCTTGTAAGTTGTATTAAATAAGAAGTATTAAGAAGAAACTGAGGTTCTGTATCAAATAATATTTTATATTCAGAGAAACATCTTATTTAGTGATCCAAGCATTTTTATATACATTAATTCAAATTTCAAAATATATAATGTATATAAAAGATTCAAAATATTTTATATACATTAATTCAGTTTTCAAAATATAATCTTGGTTGATGGTTATTATTTTAGTTTACATATTACCTGATATAAAACAAGAAACCACCATACTAAGGTTAACATGCTAAAGTTGAGAAAGAGATCAACATGCTAAGAGTTTATCAAAAATTTATTATTAAAACAATGTATCTAATTGAACTGAAAAATAACCCCATAAAATTTTTATGATTAAAATTACTGGCGTGGCGGCTCACGCCTGTAATTCCAGCACTTTGGGAGGCTGAGGCAGGAGGATTGCTTGAGCCCAGGAGTTCAAGACCAGCTTAGACAGTATAGTGAGAACCCTGTCTCTAAAAAATAAAAATAAATAATTTAAAAAATAGAAGAAGTATATAAGTAATGAAATCAACTGAAGAAAATGGCAAACTAAAGATAAAACATACATCAAATGCCAATTTTGTATGGTCTCTGATTGTTTAGGATTAGGGTTTGTAGAACTTTAAAACATTTATTAAGAAAAGTTTAAAATGTTGTTTTTATTGTTTTAATGAATATTGAATGGATAGAAAGAATGTTTATAAAATATGTGTAAAGTATAAAGAATTATAATAGAATGAATACCTGTGTTCCTATCACCTAGTTTAAGAACATAATCATAACCTTTGAACTCTTCTGGGTTCTAATTACATCCTAGTCCTTTCTCCCTTAGAAGTAAAAACTATTCTGTATGGGATACTTTTCATTACCTCACATTTCTATTGGCACTTTTTGTTTTTTCGTGTGGATTGGAATTATTGTCTGGTGTCTTTTCTTTAAGTGTGAAGAAATTCCTTTAGTATCTGTTGTAAGGCAGGTCTGATAAGAATAAATACTCTGTTTTTGGTTATTTGGCAATGTCTTTATTTGCCTTCTTTTATAAAAATAGTTTTGCTGAATATTGGATGCTTACTTGACAATTATTTTGCTTTCAGCTCCTTGAATATTATTCCACTGCCTTCTGGCTTTCATTGTTTCTAATGAAAAGTCAACTATTAATCTTATTTGTTCCCTATGATGTGATGAGTTGTTTTTCTTCTGTGCTTTCAAGATTTGCACTTTGTCTTTCAACATTTTGCTAGAATGTGTCTGGAGGTGGATCCCCACACTTAGCATACACTTGGAATTTGTTCTTCTTTTTACAGATATACATTAATGCATTTCATCAAATTTGGGGTTTTCAGCCATTATTTATTTGAATTTTTTTTTGGTCTCTTTCTTCTCATCATACTTCCATGATTTGTGTTACTGTGCACTTAATAGTTTCCTCCATTTCTCTGAAGTTCTGTTCATTTTTTTTTCATTCATTAGTCTCTTTATTCTTTATATTACACAATTTCTATCTATCTTCTTGATTGATCTTCAAGTTCTTTATTTCTTCTGTCAGATAAAGTCTACTGTTGAGCCCCATTAGTAAATTTTTTATATCAACTACTTTTTTTTAATCCCAGAATTTCTATTTGGTTCTTGAAAATAATTCGTTTATGGACATTCGTTACTTAAAGAGACATTGTCATCATATCTTCCTTTAATTCTTCTAAGCATCATTTACTTTGGTTCATTGGCTATATCTTTAATGGTTGATTTGAAGTTATTCTCTGCTAGATCCACCATCTGTGCTCCTTAAAAGACAATTTCTATTGCCTGTTTTATTCTCTGTACATAGAACACATTTCTCTGTTTCTTTGCATGCCTCTTAAATCTTTGTTAAAATATAAACATTTTTGATAGTATATATAAAAACTCTGGATACCGATTCCCACTCAGCCACCCCCCTTCAGGTTGTTTTGGTTATTGTTTGGTTGGTTATTTGTTCAATGACTTGGCTGAACTAATTATATAGTTTCTCCTGCTGTCTGCACTCTTCAATGACTGTGGCTCAGATTTTTTTCTCTTATTTTTATCTTTTGGTCTGGTTTTAGGGATTACCCCTGTACTGGCATAAGCCACTTACTGGTTAAAGGCTCTGCTTAAGCCCCTTAGCCAGTTATATTCTTACCCTTTATCATTGGATATATATGTGTGGCTTGGAATCTGCTATCTGAGTTCTGGGATTTTGGATGTTTGTGCCGTGTTTTTTCAGGGCCTACTATTTTGGAGACTGCTTCTTTGACTACTGCATAGAGGCCACAGTCTTGGGTATGTACACATTCTTCCAGACTGCTAAGAATGTTGATGATTTCATTTTTAAGCCTGACTTTCTAAGAGTTACCCTTGGGTCAGAGAGAATTATTATCTCATCAGTGTTTTGTTGAGGTCATATTTAAGCCCTGTGTGCCAGTGAGACTTCTTCACTGTGTTAATGGGAACTAAGAAACTGAAATGGCTTTTCAGAACTGTACCAAATTAAAACAAGTGTTCTAGGGCTTCATATCACAACATCAGTCAAACATTGGCTATTTATTGCCCCCTGGAGTAATAGTGATGACTGACCATAGTGAGCCACCTGCATCTGAAGTTTACTCTGGCTCTTTTCTTGCCTAAACCTTGATATCATATATGTCTTAGAATGAATTGCTGCTGGGTCCATCCAATCTCATGATTTAGTGGGTCTGAATAAATCCAGCCCATGATGTCCATATACTCTGTCCACATGTTCTCCATTAATGAGTTTCAAGTTAGAGAACTGACTGAGGCCAGGAACAGGTACAAAAATGATGACTTTTCATTGTAGAGCTGCTCTTATGCTCCTGATAACCATTTCTTCATTTTTAAATTAAAAATTAGTCAATAGCTTTATATTCGTCTTGCTTCTAGACATATCATGATCTATTATCAGTTAACATAGCTCTCTTTAGGTTGTGACCCCCTGGCCGCCACTCCAGACTTGCCCATTACTAAAATAACTGTGTCTAATTTGTTTCTGCCAAACAATTGCTGCCACCTGTCCTCCCTTATTTCAGAATCCTATTATTCCTATTGCTTTCATGAATCTCAGTTTCAAAACTGCAATTTCTTTCAATATAATGCAATTGCAACTGAAGCCTCGTCAATGCTATCAAGATCGCTACAGTCAGAATAGTCCTTCAAAATTGTCTCTAATTGAGGCAGGGGAATGGGCCTTTAAATACCTATATCAACCCATTATTTGATGTAGCTGCCTACTGGGAAGGGGCATAACCTTGAGTGAGGCAATTCCCTGCAGCAAAGGACAATTTGTAAAAGGGATAGAGCCATGAGCTGTAGCAGCTAATATTCACAGCAGCTGTGGATGGGTGCATTAGTCCCTATATTAGTCATGATTCTCCAGAGAGATAGAACCAATAGAATATAGATATATGAGAAGGGATTTATTAGGAAAATTGGCCCACATGATTATGGAGGCTAGAAGTCCTATGATAAGCTGCATGAGAGCTGGGGAATGAAGGAAGCCAGGAATGTTGCTCAGCCAAGTCTGAAGGCCTCAAAATCAAGAAAGCCACTGACGTTAACTCTCAATCTAAGGCCTGAGAAACTAGGTGGTTGCTAGTACAAGTCCCAAATCCAAAGACTGGAGAACCTAGAGTTCTGATGTCCAAGGGAAAAGATGTGTGTCCCAGCTCCAAGAGAAAAAGCAAATTTTCCAATTCTCTGTCTTTTTGTTCCATTGGGTCCCCAGTCAATAAGATGATATCCATCAACTTTGAGGGCAGATCTTCCCCACTCAGTCCACTGACCGACAATAAAATCTTCTTCAGAAACATTTTCACAGATACACCCAGAGATAATGCTTTAGCAGCTATGTAGGTATCCTTAATCCAGTCAAGTTAACACCTAAAATTAACTATCACAGCCCTGAAGAGCAGATGCAGGTGAAGCATCAGAGTAGCTGTTACATCTTCCAATCTATAAACATGGAATATCTGTTCATTTATTTTAAATATACTTTAATGTCTCTTAATCAGGTTTTGAAATTTCTATAAAAATCTGCCCTGGCTAGGTTTTCTAGGATAATATTTATTAGAGTTGCTAATGATGGGCACTACTGTCTTTATTCTCAAGGTACGTATTTTCAATTAATTTTTACTATTGCTTGTTATTGCAATGCTTGATGTAAGATTTTTAATAAGTATCCATTATTTTATCTTTTCTTAATTTGTTAAGGGAGTTATTATGAATGAATATTAAATATTGAATATCATTAGAACATATGGATTTAATTTACTAGTATTTTGTTTGAGATTTTTACATTCATATTTACAATTGAAATGATCCTATAGTTTTCCTTATTCACACTGCCCTTATCAAATTTTAACCCATCATGCTAGCATCAGGAAATGAGATGGAATCAATTTCTTCTTTTCTATACTTTACACTTGACTGTGTAAATCTGAAATTGTTTATTGGATGTATGGAAGGACTCAGAGATTAATCTATCTGGGGCTAGTTTTTCCTTTGTGGGAAAATTTTTAGATATTTATTTAATTATTTGAAGGTTGTAAATATATTCAGGTTTTCATTCCTTTTTAATCTAATTTTTGATAACTTGTATCTTTATAGAATTTTATGCACTTGAGCCAAATTTCCAAATTTCAGCCAAATTTCCTAGTTTTATGGCATAATTTTTAAAATACCACTTTTTTCATCTGTGTATGTCTAGTAAAACTTTTTTATTACTTACATTTGTTTTTCAAGCTATTTTTCTCCATGAGTTAATCTTGTAGAGATATGCATCCTTATTAACCATTTTTAAGAATTGATATTTGTTTTTTTATTCATGCTATTATTTTAATTGTATTAATTTATGACATTTCTATTTTTGTGTTTTTAAATAATTTTTCTAACTTCATAACTTATGTGCTTAGTTTATTAATTTTGAACCTCTGACTTTTTAACATATTCATTTACAAATAAAATATGTAGATTTTTGTTGCTTTCTTCTTTGTTGCTTAATTTTTTAGTTATATTTCTCTTCTTGCTTTTTATTTAATTGCACTTAATTGGTAGATCTTTTTACATTTGGGGGACTTGCTTTAAGTCTCTTTATGTTTTGAGTTTTGTAAACATTTTCTGTGTGGTTAAAAATAAATGTGAACTCTCATTTTTGGTGTAAGTGTCCATACATATCATTATGTCAGCCTTGAGGTTTGTTTTTTTTCTCCCAAATAATCTATATTCTTTTAAATTTTTCTTTTCTTAGTTTATCACTTACTGAGAGAAATGTATTAAATGCATCCATTGCAATGGTTGATTTGCCTGTTTCTTCCTTTGGTCAGTTTTTGCTTTCTGTTTGAGATTATTTTATTAAATTCAGATATGTTAGAACTCATACTCCTTGCTAGTTTAAATTTTATTTTCTGGTGACTTTATTTTAAGTCTTGCATTTTTTGTTGTACAATCTTTTTATCGTTAGTATAAATGGCTCAGGTTTATATTGGTTAAAATTTCCCTGATATGCCATATTTCATCCTTTTTATTTAAACTTTAAAAATATTTAAATATGTCTATGGTAGATGGTCTATAGGTGGCTTTAGCCTGCATTTTAGCTCTTTGTTTGTTTGATCCAGTATTTTCAATTGAAATGTTTGCCACAAGTGTTAAATATGTCATGGAATTTATTTCTACTCATACTTTTTGCCTAAATTCAGTCATTATTTTACCACTCTTACGAACAACTAAAAGACTTCAGACCTCTTTAATTCTAATCATCTCCTCCTAAATTTTACACTATAATTGCCAGATAATTTAGTCCTATTATAGTTTTAACTTCATAATACATTATTATTTTTGCTTTATATAACTGAGATTTTTATTTAATTCTATTTAAATATTTAGCATCTTATCCATGCTAAATATTTAGCACTTTCTTTGTTCATGTTGTATTTTGAACATTTCCTTCTGCTTAGAGCACACTCTTTAGAATTTCCTTTAGCGACAGACTATTAGTTGTTTACATCCTTTTTTTGGGGGGGGGTGCTTAGAACCAGCTTTTATCCCTTCTCAGGGACTTAAATATATTACTTTATTGTTTCCTTTTTTTAACTTTTAAGTTTAGGGGTACAAGTGCAGTTTGTTACATAGGTAAACTTGTGTCTGGTGGTTTGTTGTACAGATTATTTCATTACCCTGATATACTTACCCAGTATGTGTTGTTCCCCCCATGTAACCATGTGTTCTCATCTTTTAACTCCCACTTACAAGTGAGAACATGTGATATTTGTTTTTTTTGTTCCTGTGTTGCTGTGCTAAGGATAATGACCTCCAGCTCCATCCATGTCCCTGCAAAGGACATGATCTCATTCTTTTTTTATGGCTGCATAGTATTCCATGGTGTATATGTACCACATTTTCTTTATAGTCTTTATAGACTTTATAGACTTTGTGAACTTGATCTTTGATTTTCATGACCATTCAGGATATAGGAGAGGTCATAAAGAACTAGCTGATAAAGCCCAGGGCATGATAAAGTCAGGAAGCAATGTTTCCAAATAAAGCCACCACATCCAGCCATCTAATCTATCGTTGATGGGCATTTAGGTTGATTCCATGTCTTTAACATTGTAAATAGTGCTGCAGCGACCATATGCAAACGAAGTCAGCCATCATTCTAATTGTAAATCCTTTGAAGATGTTTTTCTTTTCTTTTCTGGCTGCTTTAAAATCTCTTTGTCTTTCATGTTCTTCAGATTAACAATAATTATCTGCAAGAAGTGTTCTTTTATCTACCCAACATTTATTCAGTTCAACCAAAGACAAATTTGTGGTTTTTGGTCTGCTTTAAATCTTACATCATTCATAAGTTCCAGAAAATTCTCAGCCATTATCTTTTCAAATATTATATCTGTTTCATTTTTATTCTACTCCTCTCTAAATTTTTGCATGAGTATCTTTCATGTAGCTTCACTTATTTTCATATTTTTTCTCTCTATGCTGTATTCCAGTTGATTTTTTCAGATTTATCTTTTAATTCATTTATTCTCTTCAGTTACTGTCTCTTTCATTTCTAAATGTTAAATTTTATTTATTCAAAGATATGCTTGAACTTTTGCATGGATCCTTGCTATTTATTCATCTTTCAAAACCTTTTATTTCTGCAAACTTGTTAAAAAAGTACATTCTATATTCTCTATTTGATAATTATATCATGAGTCTTTGCTGGTCTCACTCTATAGTATATTGTTTCTCTACGTTCTCAGGCATGGTGCCTTTTCCCAGTGTGTTTGTGACTTTTTACTATGATATCATACCTCATAACATTATTTGTGACAATTTTTAAGGTCTGGGGCGTTTCTTATTGAAAATTTTGTGTTTGTTTCTTCCAAGCACGTAAAAATATTAACCTGGGACCACCTCATATTAAATTTGTGACCCAAGGCTCTTCAAACACCTAATCAATGGGAATACAGGCCAAAAATGTGCCACAAAGTTGAATTTTTTATTCAACCTGCCGTAATGTTGAATTTACATTACACATTTTCTAGGACAGATGTTTTCTTAATTTATCAACAGAGTTTGAGAGAAGCAATTTTTGTTAGAATCCTTGGCACTTTTACAGGTCTGGCAAATGGCTGTGGCATATTTATTTCTTGCTTACTCTTATAATGTGGTGGCTTTATGTGGAAACATTGCTTCCTTACTTTATCATGCCCTGGGTTTTATCAGCTAGTTCTTTATGACCTCTCCTATATCCTGAATGGTCATGAAAATCAAAGATCAAGTTCACAAAGCCTATCAAATATCCTCATGATGAAAGCTAGCTTTAGCTTTATTTAAGCATTTGAGTTCCCACTTTAACTTGGGTTTGGTCTCCGAGTTTTCCTTTCTAAATGCCAGGTCACTGGTGGAATTAAGAGCATATTTAAAACTAGTTTATCCAGCTCTTTAAATTTCAGTACAGAAGGTGATTGATATATCTAGTCTATCACACTGCTACACAGCGGAATTTCAGACACGGTTTTTAGTTTGGGCACTGAAATGATAAATACATGCCTTAACACTATCATTAAGAACCTTCCGCTACACTTTCCCTCTGACAAAACAAGCACTGTCAAACCATTCCCTGTGTCTGTTAAAGCTTTTCAGGAAGCAGAAACTGGGACAGAATTACAAGTGTCAGAAATGTACTGGGACAAATCCTTGGGAAGAGGAATCAGGAGCAGGCAGGGAGAGTCTTCAGATGCAATGCATGCCTGCCACTTGTGAAAAGAGAGGAAAGCAAGATTTGGTAAGAAGCTCAGACTTCTTTTAGCTCTTAGAAAGTCTCAGCCAGGCCAAGGGGGATTCCTAGAGCAATAGTTCCATTAGAGGTGTCCTGTCTTAGACAGAAATGGCCACTATGCTTAGTCAACGGCTGGAGACATCCTGGGGAGAGCAGGGTCTCAGCACCCAAACTGCAGCAGATCCTGATGGTGCAGCTGGTGGATGCCGTTAGCTAACTGCACTCCTCACAGCGGGTTCTCTCTTCCAGAGAAATATGAACAGCGCACCTCCCTGGCAGTAGTAATCCCGTGCTATCTCACGGGCTTGCCCTGCTCCTTCTCTGCATCATTTTACTGGGGTATTTTAGGTGGTTTCTACTCCAAATACCTCATATGTAAAATTCACTCAAAAAATCCTCCCTTCTCTGTGTATCCTTACCCCTAAGTGCCCATTGCATTATACACCGCAGCCATTTGCAACTGCAAAATCATTTTTATTAGCATACAAGGAACTCTGGATTTAACCTATATTCTTACTAGGAAATGAAGAATTGCGTATGTGCTATTACTCAATTACCATGGTAAAGTTTTAGAATGCTAATAGATCTCTCTCTGCCTTTTTCTCCTATCCTTCCTATTATAAACTACAAAAAAATTTATTCTTGGCATCATTAATTGTTCTTGCTAATCAAGCTATTTTCATTCTCAGGTCTATCTCATCTTTCTCTTATGAGAGAATGTTAAATGGGTTTTTTGCTCCTGTCCTGGAATTCAAGCTAAGACCTGAAATGCTAAATGTAATCAGACAACCATCCTTTCTAGCCTCTTGGTTCATATAAGAAGAGGGAAAAAGATCAGTCCTGATGACAGGCTAGTTCCTCCTTTCCTGTTTGAAGTCAGAGAATGAGGAGAAAGGAATGGAGATAGAAAAGCAGAGAGAAAGACTGACATTTCATGATTAGCCAGGGCAATTTCTTTTTTGTTTTATTTTATAATGGCTGCTCAGTAAGGATAGCCTCAGCTTACTGATGTTGTTAGAAAGTGACAATTCTTGCCTTGCAGAAGGATTACTCTGCATTGATCTGGCACTTTGGCCTCAGTTTGAAATAGAATTTGCCTGCAGCTACATTAGCATAATAAAACACAGCAAATTCACAGTCTCTTTCTGGCACTTTTCCTGCAGTATTTGTAGAATACTAGAAACTATTTTTTACACATTAGTTATACCTGCCTAAAAATCTTCAGACCATCATCAATCTACAGAGATCTGAGAGAAGAAATTTAAGTTGTTCCCTCCCCTAGGCCCCCAACATGCCATAAAACAGGTTAAGAAAAACTTATTGGCCGGGCACCATGGCTCACACCTGTAATCTCAGCAATTGGGAGACCTAGGCGGGGGGATCACTTGAGGTCAGGAGTTTGAGACCAGTCGGGGCAACATGATGAAACCTCATCTCTACAAAAAATAAAAAAATTAGCTGGGAGCAGTGGCACATGCCTATAGTCCCAGTTACTTGGGAGACTCAGGTGAGAGGATCACCTGAGCCCAGGGAGGTTAAGGCTGCAGTGAGCTGTGATTGTGCCACTGCACTCCAGCCTGGGTGACAGAGTGAGACCCTGTCTCGAAAAAAAAAAAAAAAAAAAAAAAAAAACTTAGTGCTTAATGGCATAGGTCAAATGATATAACAAAATTGTAAATATTATCTCTCAGAACTAGTCGTTGGACAAGCAGAGTTGATCACAGTTACACAGTAAATTATTTTTTGCAACAAATCCATTTTTGTTCTCTATCCATTCACGAAAACACAAATGCTAACTTCATTATATCCTGTATCCATTAGACACTTCTAATAATTTCCAGCTAAATTAGTTCAGAAGACTAACTTCTATTTTAATCACAGAGTGATTTAAAATTCTCAGTCTTTAGAGTTTTGGTTTCAAATGTCAAACCAATTAAATGAGTCTTTTTAGATAGTTGTTTCTGTTCATTACTAAATAATTGTCTTTAATCTATAACTCCTTGCAAAGTATTTTTCCTAATTACTTGCCATGCAGTAGCTATTTTAAAATCTAAAGCATTTTTCTAGTTGGCATTTTTAATGCACTAAAACCTCTTGCTAATTGTGTGTAAGTTTTAAAATACAACACTTTACCTCATTTTCTTATGCTTTCAAGACCAGTGTTTGTACAGAAAAGAACTTGAGGAAGAAAAAGACCTTCACTCTATTAATATGGTTTTCCTTTTAGAAACTATATAATTGTTGTTTCTATTTCTTTTATTTTCATTTGGTCACTAGAAATTTTCAAGTATCAGTAAAGTAGATTAATGTTCATTAAATGAATTTATCTGTACTTTAAACTGCTTGCAATTAAAAAGAAAGAAAGAAAAGTACTCATGAAAAATGAGTCTTTGACCAAAAAATAAAAGGTACATGTTTTCTAGGAATATCCAAATTCCATTTTCACTATGGATATTCTTTCTATATAATGAGAAATTTCATTAAAATTTTAAAAATATTTGTTAAAACTCTTCCCATATTAATTGATCACCCTCAAATTCTATGTGCCACAAAATCTGTTTAGGGTCAAGGTCCATCATCTTAATTTCAGGTAAAAATTGCTCTTCTCCTATTTCACTCTTTAAATGGGCAAATGTAGAGAGTTGGATATTACCAAGTGATGGTGCGGGTGTGGTTGAAAGGAAATTCTCCTGAACTGCTGGTGATTGAGCTGAAAGAAGTTTGGATGGGTTCTCCAAATACCAATGATGATAATGTGTGATGAAATGAAGGGTATAATTAATCCAAGTCTCTGCACGTGAGTTCCAAAACAAATAAAATTATAAAATAAATATAAGAAAGTTACCGATGGAAATATAAAAGAAGAATATTCCATATTTTGCTTCTTTTTTCACTTGTTGTAAAGGCTGATATTTTAGTAGTACACGATAAACATCATTCAGTATGTTAGCTGGGCATGATAAGAGCCACTGTGGCCAAATTTAATATACCTTAGCTATGCAGTTCAAAAATACTGCTTTCTAAATTTCGAGGAATTCCGAATGTAAAGAGTCATACATTTTGAAAAAATACCCCAGAGGAAAGAATTATATAAATAAAAAAGACACTTAATTATTAAATATATATTTGCTATAAAATATTAGAATATTATGTGACTATGAACCAAAAGTAGTTCAAGACACATCTCCTGTTGGCTTCTCATCCACCTTTTCCAAACTCTGAAGCCCATCATTAGCAGACTGGAGATTACAACGAGTAAAATCAGGTTAGTTGGAAGTTCATGTATTCTAATTTTTCCCATACTCTGCATTGTCACAAGCAATGTATTTGTGTCTCTATAAACTCTATCTTTCAGCAAAAGAGACTGCATGCATGTATGCACTCTGTCTTCAAACAAGGGAGAGTGAGTCCTAATTCATGATGTAAAGCAGAGCGTGGTGTGTCCACACCACCTCATGGTCAGGTTATTAGTTGTGACTTCAGTGAAATTAAACTCATGACTTAACTTGATTCTGAAATATGTAATGATGCCTTTCCCAGATTGATAGTAAATATCTTCATAGTACAATAAATATTCTTATAGATGTGTATCACCTGGGGGCCAAATGTCATGCTTAAAATTGGAAGGTTACTTTAGATCCATATGAGAATATTTAATCTTTTCCAAATTATTACTAACAGTTTGTAATCCACATATACACTGTCACCATCAGCCAATATTTATTGTTATACCTGCTATGTATACAGGTGAAGAAAAAAAATCAATAGGCTGATTTACCTACTTAAAGTATTATTATGTTGCAAAATGGCTATAATTCAGCAGAAAGTTTAGTCAACGGGGAAAATTAAGGTCTTCTTACAATATTTACTAATCCCATAACAGTCTGATTCAAGGTTATTTTTGCAAAGGTACTCACATTTGTTACTGCATCTCTTATTAAGATCGCCTATGTTTGCTCAATTCAGTGACTTTCATGCTATCATATAAATGAAATAAAATGTGTAATTATCTCCAGGTAATGAAATATTTTTATATATCTGTAAATATTTTATCTTCATTAGTCTTTTAAAATAGTAACAACTTAAGTATTTATGAATTCAGAATATATTGTAGTTCAGATGAATGTAGTTCAGATGTGGTTATATGTCAAGGCATATTATATGTCCATCAGTAGGCAACATTATGTGTAGAATGAGCTTCTCTTGTCAAATAGATATGATCTCTGGCAAAATAATTCAAAAACAGCACACATTGTAATATATTAAAATAATCATGTGTCTGAAACTTTCCTTCTCCAGACTGAAGTTTCTGAAAGTCAAGGACTATGTTTTAGACATGTTTTTGTATATAGTATCTAGCATAGTGCCTGGCACATGGTATATGCCCTAGAGAGGTTGGTAGAATGAATGAATGAAATGTGTAATCTGATTGAGACGGCAAACCTAAATGTTAAAAATCAAAAACTCAAAGAAAAAACAAGCTTTGTAGCACAAAATCACTAAAAAGGAGAGACATTATGGAATAGACTGATCTAAGATTTCATAAACATGTTAGCTCTGGAATAGAACTGAGAAAGACTGTTCGGTTTAGGGAAAGGATGAACAAAAGGAAAGATGTTTCATATGAGTAGCTTTCTTAGTGAATCAGCAATAAGCAAGAGCAGAAAGCCATGAATTGAAAAATATCTGTCATATAATTGAATGAATGAACATGTTGTATTTGGACAGCGAAGTGACTAGTCAGTAACTGGGCAGTAATAAAGTATAAAATTAGCAGGACTAGATTATCCATGTCCCTGAAATTTGGACAGAAGAATGTAAATGTCATGTAACAAAGTAGGGAGACACTGCATATGGTGAGGTTAACATCAACTCGTCAATCAGTCAATGATTCCAAGTTCATTATGTTCAGCATTGTGTGTTTAAGGTAGATTTGCCAGTCATCAATATGAAAAATAGGATTAGGGGAGAAACTAAAGCCCCATGATTCATTTTGGAAAAGATAAGCTGAGTTTATGCAGATACAAGGTAATCAGGATGCTAGAAAATTAAGGATAAAGGTTGCATTAGTGACAGGTTTCAGAGTAGACAAATAATATGCAATCTAGTGACAGATTGTTGATTGGGTATAATGAAAGGAAAAAAATGAAAGAGACTTCAAAACATGTGCACTACTTTAGAGTAAGAAAAATGCCATGACTGACATAGTTTAAGTGCAGAAACTGTATCTGTCTTGTTCATTATTGTATTCCAAATACCTAGGGCAGCCCTCACACAGGGTAGGCACCTACAGCTATTTGTTGATTGAGTGAAAGAATAACCAAATAATTAGAGTATCTACCATGTGCACAGTCTAGTACTCTGCATTGGAACGGGAGCGATGCATATGTATATAACCCCTGTGTGCAACAAACTGCATCTAATAAAGGAGGCAGATATGTATCCATGTTAGCATATACAAATAGACGTGTACATTTTTATATGTACATGTATGAGGGAATGAATAAAAGGGAGGGAAGGAGAAATGCTCCATAATGGACTTATAGTTACAAACTGAACATTACTAGGCACATTACTGAATCAACACTTGACAATATTTGTATTTTGTCAAAACATATACCAATCACTTCAATTTAATTATATTGTAGTGAGGAATCCAGAAACAAAATATGGTACCTGTACTTAGGGTTTTGCATTTGTTGTCTAACATCTCCTCTCTAGCAAGGCAGGAGTATAGAGATAAAAGCAATTTATGAGAACTATAATTCTACAAGGAAGCAGAGAATGACGAAAAGTCAGGGATGTGGAAAGAGAGTGATGAACTTGGAAATGTCTGCAGTGCAAACTGATTGAGGAAGGGAGACAGTACCGAAGTTTTATCTTAAGGACTGCATACAATTCTAATTGCTGGCAAAGTAGGGAGAGGACATTCCTGGCTGAGGGAGCTGCTTGAGTTAAAGAGTGAACAAAGCTCCACAGAACATGGCGAGTTATATTAAAAGTAAGCTTAGAAAGGTAGATGAGGTAGAGTGGGGAGTGGAGCATCTAAAGACCTTGAATATCAATCCAAAGCACTTAGCTCTTATTTTTAAGAAATAGGGGTTTGGAGAAGGGAAGGGGAAAGGAAATTAACATTTATTGATCACTTGCCACATGCTAGAGACTACCTAGTATTTTTATGTTATTTAATTGTTTTAGTTGGTAAGTGCTCAAGTCAAAACACAATCTGATCTTTCTGTAGATAACTCAACTCTGACTGCTGTTAGAAGAGGGAACCAGAGAGATCAGAGACTATAAGCAAACTAGTCAGTAAATTCATATTAAGAAAATATATATATATATATATATATATTTTGAAATATTTTATGATTATTTGTCAACCTCCTTCCAAAAGGCACAGTTCTATGATGCTTACAACCTGACTAGATCATGTATTGGGTAAAATGTAAACTTAAGTGTAAAACATGTCAGTTTAATAGCAAAGGCATTGTTGTCAGGTGAACCTCTGAATCTTTGTAATCACTTAATAGCAACACTGGTTTGAGTAATGATTTAATGTCTTTAAGTCTGGCTAGGAGTGGTGGCTCATGCTGATAATCTTAGAACTTTGGGAGGCTGAGGTGGGTGAATCACTTGAGCCCAGGAATTCAAGACCAGCCTGGGCAACATGGCGAAACCCTGTCTTTACAAAAAATACAAAAAGTTAGCTTGGAGTGGTGGTGTGCACCTGTAGTCCCAGCTGCCCGGAAGGCAGGGGTGAGAGGATCTGTTGAGCCTAGGAGGTTGAGGCTGCAGGGAACCGTGATCATATCACTGTACTCCAGCCTGGGTGATAGAGGGAGACCCTGTCTCAAAAACAAACAAAACAAAATAAAACAAAACAAAACAAAACAAAAGTGACAATATGGCCACTCTACCGGGTTGGGGTTTATGCATTAATTACTGGAGAACTTGCTTGTAAAGTGCTTTACGAGCTCTGGGTTGTTCACTCAAACGTGGCACACACTTAGAGATGGTTATTTTACCCTTATTTGCTTCAACATTTGATTAAAGCTGGTCACCCTCTAATCTGCTGCTGCTCTTAAGTGTCAGAACCCTGTTCTTGTTCATTTCTGTGTTTCTCACCTCAGCACAGTAACTGGCTCGTATTCTGCTCATTATTTGTACTGAATGTATGAAGCTATTGTAATTATTAAACATAAGTACTCAAAATATAATTTTTTAAATTATACTAATTCTGATTATAATTACATCTCTAGCAAAAAAAAAAAAGAAGAAAACATTAGGGGTTCATTTAGTTTTAAATATATGCTATATCACGTGGGTAACAAAAAAAGAAAAAGGATTAAGAAAGTAGACCAGAGACACAGTGCCTGATAAGTTAACTTACCAGCAAATTTTCCTGTTTTCTTCGCATTTTCCTTGCTTGACAACTTTTTCAAAATTATAAAGCAAATGAGCATTTCTTGTAAGAAGTTAAACCGTACAATATACAATTGTCTCCCCTTCTGTATTAGTCTATTTTCACAATGCTGATAAAGACATACCTGAGACTGGGCAATTTACAAAAGAAAGAGTTTTATTGGACTTACAGTTCTACGTGGCTGGGGAGGCCTCACAATCACGGCAGAATGTGAAAGACATGTCTCAGACGGCGGTGGCAAGAGAGAGAATGAGAGCCAAGCGAAATGCGTTTCCCTTATCAAACCATTAGATCTCGTGAGACTTGATCACTATCATGAGAACAGTCGGAACCGCAGAAAAGACCCACCCCCACAATTCAATCACCTCCCACCGGTTCCTCCCACAACACACGGGAATTGTGAATTCAAGAAGAAATTTGGGTGGGGATGCAGCCAAACCATATCACCTTCTTATTCCCACTTGCACCAAAAATCAATATTAATGCCTGGCATATGTATCCTCCATACCTTGGTCCTTATTCATACAATCATTTACAAGCCAATATGTGTAAAGATATCATTGCTTTGTATCTGATATTTTTTATAGTAAGATATAAAAATGGAAGGTTGCATAAACATAGAATAAGGAATAATTGGAATAAAAAATAAAATAAAAAGAATAATTATAAAGTCAACATTTATGTAACCATTACCCAGATAAAGAAAAAGTACAATTTCTGAACTCAGCACCCTCAGTGTGACTTTTTCTTTTTCTATCTCATTCCATATCCCCAGAGATAACCATTATGCCAACTTCTGTGAAAATTATTTTCATACTTCTCTTTAGTTTTAGCACCTATAATTCTATTCCTAAAACATAGTTTAGTTATGCATACTTGAATTTTATATGAATTAGTTTATAATACATGTGGTTTGGAAGTATGTCTTCTATCTTTTGTGTGTGTGTGTGTGTGTGAGATGGAGTTTTGCCCAGGCTGGAGTGTAATGGTGCGATCTTGGCTCACCGCAACCTCCGCCCCCTGGGTTCAAGCAATTCTCCTGCCTCAGCCTCCTGAGTAGCTGGGATTACAGGCATGTGCCACCACACCTGTCATGTTTTGTGTTTTTAGTAGAGATGGGGTTTCTCCATGTTTTTCAGGCTGGTCTCGAACTCCTGACCTCAGATGATCCACCCACCTAAGCCTCCCAAAGTGCTGGGGTTATAGGCGTGAGCCACCATGCCCGGCTGTCTTCTATCTTCTGTTCATTAGTTTGTTAGATTTATTGTTATTGGATGCGGCTGAAGATGTTAACTTTTATTACTTTATAGAAATGATACTCTAACTATGGTTCCTTGACCACCAGCATCAGCCTGCTGCTGTTAGAAATCTCTCTATCACAGACCTGCTGAATCAGAAATTCTGGGATAGGGAGCAGCAGTGTGTTTTTGCAAGCCCTTCAGGTAATTATGATGCATTATGAAAAGCACTGCTAAGTAAAATTAAAATATATGAACATATTAAATTTAGATGATCCATTTTACTCTTGATGTGTATTTGAATTATTTCAGATATTAACTATTGCCAAGATGGTGCTGTGAACATTTATATATATGTATCCTGGAATACAAGGGCATGATATCATTTAGAGTTTATATCCAGTTGAGAAATTGCTGGGTCATATGCTTATCTTCAATTTGATGAAAAATGCCACCCTGTTTTCTAGTGTGGTTTTGCTAATTTACAAGTCTTTCACCTGGCTCTTCCTTTTCTGTCTCTCTGCATACTAGAATTGGGTTTATGATATCCTAACATGTACTTTACCTAAATCTATCTTACCTCAATTTTTCTCAAGCTGTAGGGTATCTACTAATATTCTCTGATGACAATAAATCACGTTTGGAATTTTGTTATTTATTTTAAAACATATAGTAGTATAATTTTCAAAAAATTAGAAAATATTATATATTGTTTAGATTATTTTCACTTAAAAATCCCTGTTATAAATCCCAATTCAGCCATATACTTCTAATATAATAACTTATTTTTTGATAGCTGCTAAGTATTTCATGATGTGGAGGTACTATAATTTATTAGGCATTCAATTTTTTCAAGATTTTTTTCCCAACACAAACTAGGCTGCAACAGACATATTTGTTTATACATTCTTACTGTGTAAGTCAGTTTGGGTTGCCATAAGAAGATACTGGGTAGACTAAACAACAAAAATTTATTTTCTCACAGTTTATTTTCTTCGAGGAGGCTGGAAGTCTGAGATTAGGGTGCCAAAATGGTTGGGTTCTGGTAAGGATTTTCTTCCTAGCTTCCAGATGGCTGCCTTCTTGCTGCCTGCCCACATGGCCTTTCCTCAGTACCTGCAAGGATAGATGGGGGAGAAAGAGAGAGAGAGATAAAGAGATTGCGCTCTCACACGCACAGAGACAGAGAGAGAGAGAGAGAGAGAGAGAGAGAGAGAGAAGGAAGAAGATCTGGTGTCTTCTTATAAGGGCACTGATCCCATTATGACAGCCTCACCCTCATGACCTCATCCAAACCTAATTACTTCCCAAAGACCCCATGTCCAAACACCATCACACTGGGGGTTAGGGCTTCAACATATTAATTTTGGTGGGACACAATTCAATCCATAGCACATACATACTGGGCATTTATTTAATGTGGTAGATTTCTAAGAGTGGGTTGGCTATGTGGAATTATCTAGTAGATAGTACCAGAGTGATATCCACACATATTGTAAGAGTTCCCATTTATGCCACCTATACAATAAACATTCTTTTAATGGCATCCCCATCAATATTGGGGAATTGATTAGTCATATCTTTTACTTATTTTTCTATTGGGTTGTTTGTTTTTCTGGTCAATGTTTAGAAGTCCTATTTATATCATATATGTCTTTATTATTTATATTTCTTCTATGCTGGAAATAATTTTTTCTTATTTGTTTACCATCTTTGTTTACAGTATTGTTGATATATTACTAAATATTATATAATCAATGTGTCTCTTTATCATTATTTGAGTTTTATATTCTTAGTTAAGATCTCCCCATTCCTATATTTTATTTATATTTATATTTAAATCTGGAATATGTTGTGTGATATGTGTTCAGCTTCATTTTTTTAGTAGATAAGAAATTGTGCATCATTATTTAATAAATTTTCCGAAGGGTGAAGTACCCACTTTGTTGCAATATTAACTTCTCATGTATCCTGTATTCTCATGTATATCTCAAATTTCTATGTTGTTTCTCTGATTTTAGTTTTCTAACAGCAGCTATACATGTATTTATGTGATTTCAGTGGTTTTATATATGTCTTCATAGATAAGTAAGGTCTTACCTCTTCCCTGGGACATTCACTTTTCCATATGAATTCTAAGATTATTGAAATTTATCATTCAAAAAAATCCCTGTTTAAAATCCAATTATATTCGATTTATATAATAATTTTGGTACAGCTGCCATTTTAGTGATATACTTGATATGCTTTATTTCTTCCATTTTATTATATTACTACTTACTTCACAGTGTTGCTTTCCTTTTTGGTGCAAGAGTATGTTGTCCAAGTTGTCATATGTCCTTCTTTCCTCTTGTTAAAGTACAGAAAATTCTCCTCCTTTTTCTGGAACTCATGATCTAGCACTTAGTTCTCTGATATGTGAAAATAAGCTTCTAACTACTTCTTCATCAAGATGTTCTATTTTCCCATTGCTTTTATCTTCCATTCAACAAGTGAGCAGTATGAACTATTTTCACTTCCTTTAACTCTCTCTCTCCCTTCTACTCCTGGGTTTTGCTGAGATAGACTAGTATTTTTAGTTCTAGACTATTATTATAATTTCCCTTGCAGTATTCCAAAAATTGTCTTCTATTTCAAAAGTTCTTGTTTAGCAGTTACAGTGCATATTTTCAGCACTCTGTAAGTACCCAAGGTTTATTGCTCACCACTGTTTTTTTATCCTTACAGTCTCCTATTTTAAGACGTTGTAGCAGGTTGAATAGTGGCCCCCAAAAGATAGATCTACGTCCTAACCCCTAGTACCTGAGAATGTAACTTTACTTGGACATAGGATCTTTGCAGAATCAGTTAGGAATCTCAAGATGAGAAGATTCAGGATTTAGAGTGCCCTAAATCAATAAATGGTGTCTTTATAAGAGGGAGAGAGGAGCAGGAGATTTTAGACACAGGCACAGGGCAAAAGACCATGTGAAGATGAAAGCAGAGGTTGGAGTGAAACATAAGGAGCCACCAGAAGTTCCTTAAGGAAGAGGCAAAGAAACCTTCCCCCAAAGAGTTTTGGAGGCAAGGTTACACTGCCAACACCTCAATTTAGGAATTTTGGTCTTTAGAACTACAAGAGAATACATTTTGGTTGCTTTAAGTCACCAAATATGTGCTAATTCATTGTGGCAGCTCTAATTCTATTTAATAAATAAAAATTATTAATTTAATAAATAATTTATATTTAATGAATAAAATTTATCAAATACACTTTATCTTTTTGTATTTTTGGACTGTGGTTTGAGATATTTCTCTCACTTCTTCCATTTTATTTGAGTCTCATTTTTTAAACTCATCTTAAAATTAATTTTCAATTTTTAAAATTCATTTTTTAAATGTACAAGATGATCAGAGATGCCTTTATTTATATCTTTTTGTTTTTGTTGCTTGCGTTTTTGAGAACTTGGTCATACATTTTTTGCCTAGGCCAATGTCCAGAAGAGTTTTTCCTAGGTTTTCTTCTAGGGTTTTTATAGTTTCAGGTCTTAATTTGGATCTTTAATCCATCTTGAGTTAATATTTGTATACAATGAGATGTATGGGTCCAGTTTTATTCTTCTGCATATGGCTATCCATTTTTCCCAGCACCATTTATTGAATAGGGTATCATTTCCCCATTGTATATTTTTGTTGATTTTGCCAAAGATCAGTTGGTTGTGGGTATGTGACTTTATTTCTGGGACCTCTATTCTGTTCCAGTGATCTATATGTGTATTTTTATATAGTACCATGCTGTTTTGGTTACTATAGCCTTGTAGTATCATTTAAAGTCAGGTAAATATTTCATCTAATTTTAAAAATTATTGATTTGATAGTGATGTCTATATTCTTTTAATATCTTTTTAAAAAGTTGAACCTGAGAATATTTTTGTGAAAAATAAACATTTTTAGTAAAATATCACTAGATTAGTTTTGAATTACATGTAACTATCTACATTAATTCTTTTTAACATTGGAAGACAACATCTTAGGGGATCTCAATAGGGAAGAATTTCATTTTTGTGTTTTAAAATGCCAGTTGTCATGAATTATCATGGAAATTATTCTCTCTTTTCCTGTTAGAATTACAGGGCCATTTCAGTTCAGCTGAGAAGGGTACTTATTTGGCCCTCCATTTAGAGTGATCACATATGATATACTTTGGCTCCATGTCCCACCCAAATCTCATCTTGAGTTGTAATTCCCAATATTGGAGGAGGGGCCTTGTAGGAGGTGATTGGATCATGGGGCTGGATTTCCCCCTTGCTGTTCTCGTGATAGAGAGTGAGATCTCATGAGAACTGATGGTTTAAAAGTAAGCACTTCCCCTCTTGCTCTCTGTCTCCTGCCGCCATGTAAGACATGCCTTGCTTCCCCTTCTCCTTTTGCCATGATTGTAAGTTTCCTGAGGCCTCCCCAGCCATGCAGAACTGTGAGTCATTTAAACTTCTTTTCTTTATAAATTATCCATTATCCAGTCTCAGGTAGTTCTTTATAGCAGTGTGAAAATGGACTAATACAACATATGTCTACAGGAAATTTACTTTTGAGCAAAGAATATACATAAACTAAAGAAATATGTACTTTTAAATAAGCAAATCTCATTTTTAAAAATATAAGATGATACAGGACAGACTATTAGAAGTACAGTGTTTCATATTATACTTGTATAGCAGAAAACAGCTAAAAAAATAGAGCTGTACATCACAGACTCCAGACTCTATCAGTGTCCACATAAAGAATCATGAAATTTCTCAACACCATGGACAGAGCTTACAGGAAGGGAAGAAAAAGAACACATCCAAAACATACGGTATCAGAAAGGCTTTGAATTTTGTTATAGTCGTACTGAAAACTGGAAGATTTTGCTACCAGTGTTATTCATGTGAGCTTTGCATCCTGCAGAAGGCATTCCATTTATCTCTCCTCTCAGTCCAGCAAGCTAATTATCGTCCTGTGCTTTTAGAGCTATGAATATTTGACAGAGAAGGCATTAACAACTTCAGATACTTGATTTGGTTTGTTGCCTTCTGCAACAGAGTTCAGAAATTTTAAAAAGAACATCGGCCATGTTAGAAACAATGGTATTTTTCCTAACTGTAATCCAGTATGATACTATCGATAGTGATAAAGCTTAATATTACAATAATGCATATGAAGCTTTAAAAACAATTCTATTTTAACATGTTCAATTATAGTTCATATTCCAAATGAATGTTTATATGTAGCTGCTGCTTTTTTTTAGTTTTGCATTTTTTGGCCCTAGTTTATTCTTATTCACGATAATACTAGCTCACAAAATAGTTCCATTTGTAACTATAGAATGTTTTCTTAAGGGTTATTCCATTAATTCTTTTTCCTGTCTCTCTCTCTTTTTTTCTTTTTTTGAGACAGAGTTTGACTCTTGTCGCACAGGCTGGAGTGCAGTGTTGCCATCATGGCTCACTGCAGCCTTGACCTCCCGACCTCAGGTGATCCTCCCACCTCAGCCTCCTGCCTAGCTGGGACTAAAGGTGCGTGCTGCCATGCCCAGCTAATTTGTTGTATTTTTAGTAGAGATGGGGTTTCACCATGTTGCTCAGGCTGATCTAAAATTCCTGGGCTCAAGTGATCCACTCACCTCAGCCTCCCAATGTGCTGGGATTACAGGCATGCCATGCCCAGTTCATTAATTCTAATGAACCCTGAGGCGTCAGAAAGATGATTTCAAACTGGTTTTGAGTTAAGGTAGTGTGGTAAATATAGACATTTTATTTCATTGCTTTTCTCTATTTGTGATGAATAATCTCACTGTATTAGTCATGGCTCTCCAAAGAAACAATCTGTGTATAAATACACACACACACAAACACACATGCACAGAGAGAGAGAGAGAGAGAGAGAGAGAGAGAGAGAGAGATTTGTTTACTGTAAGAAATTGGCTCATGTGATTATGGAGGCTGTAAAATCCCATGATCTGCAGTCGGCAAACTGGAGACCCAGCAGAACAAATGGTATGGTTCCATTCTGAGTCTCTGAATACCTGAGAAACAAGAGAGCTGATAGTGTAAGTTCCAGTCTGAGTCCAAAGACAGGAGAAGGCCAGTGTCCTAACTTGAATACAGTCAGGCAGACAGAGTGAATTTTTCCTTATTCAGCCTTTTGTTCTCTTCAAACCTTCAACAGACTGGATAAGGCTCACCAACATTGGGAAAGACAATCCACTTTACTCAGTCTACCCATTAAAATGTTAATATCATCCAGAAACATTCTCACAAACACACCTAGCGGGACGTTTAACCAAATACAGTGATGAGCAAGCCACACGATGACATTTTGGTCACTGATGGACTGCATTAAGAAAGTGGTCCCATAAGATTATAATGGAGATACAAAATTCCTATTGCCTATGGATGTCATAGCTGTCTTAATATCAAAGTGGAACACATTATGACTCACATGTTTGTGGTGATGCTGGTGTAAACAAGCCTATTGTGCCATCAGTTGTATAAAAGTATGACACATAAAATTATGTACACTACATAATAGTAGACAATGATAATAAACGACTGTGTTACTGGTGTATTCACTATACTATACTTTTTATCATTGCTTTAGAGTGTACTCCTTTGACTTATTTTTTTTTAAGTTAACTGCAAAATTGCCTTAGGCAGGTCCTTCAGCAGGTATTCCAGAAGACATTGTTGTCACAGGCAATGAGAGCTCCATGGGTGATACTGGCCCTTACAACCTTATAGTGGGAAAAGTTGTGGAGGTAGAACACAGTGGTCGTAATGATCCTGACCCTGTGTAGGCCTGGGCTAATGTGTGTTTGTGTCTTAGTTTTTAACAAAAAAGTTTAGAAAGTAAAAAATAAAAATGAAACATTTTTAAAATAGAAAAAAATCTTTAGATAAGGACACAGAAAAATATTTTGTGTAGCTGCTAAGTGTTATTACAAGTTTAAAAAAATTGAAAGTTTATGAAGTAAAAATGTTACAGTAAGCTAAGGTCAATTTATTGTTGAAGAAGAAAAATGTTTTAAAATTAGTGTAGCCTAAGTGTACAGTGTTTATAAAGTCTACAGAGATGTACAGGAAGGTCCTAGTCCTTTGCATTCACTTACCACTCACCCACTGATTCACCCCGAGCAACATTCAGTCCTGCAAGCTCCATTCATGTAAGTGCCCTATACAGGTATGCCACTTTTTATCTTTCATACCATATCATTACTGTACCTTTCCTATGTTTAGATACACACAAATGCCACTGTGTTACAATTGCCTACAGTATTCAGCCCAGTTACCTACTGTACCGGTTTGTAACCTAGGACCAATCAGTAGGCTATACCATACAGCCTAGGTATGTAGTAGCCTAGGTATGTAAAACAAACATGCTTAAAACCTAACTTGAGGTCCTATCCAAGGGAAAAACATGCTTTTTTTGTGGCATGTTTTATCTGAAAAGTTTTTTTTAACTATATTATTTCAGCTAAACTCTTTTTCTAATCATTTAGCAATAACACTCATAATTTGAGGATAGACGTCATTGTGTTAAATCGAAACAGTATGTGGTCAGCACCAGTATACTTGCGGGGATATGCACCCAGGTAGAAGTTAATCATTATGTTCTTAAAGACCATTAGAAAAGTAATCTGAGAGTTAGTTTTATAGTTTTTTAGTTAGTTTCTTGTGAAAGCCATTATAGAGCATAGTGAAAAGGAGGGAAGTGAAAAAGGTCTCAGGGAATTAGGTATCCATGTTAGCTAAATGGCATTTCACTCTTGAGACCTAAGTTAACACTTGATTTCTGGGCTTTTGGTTTTACATGCCAAACAATGAGGCTGTTATACTTTTTAAATAATCTATGCAATGCAATTCATCTGTTTTCATATATTATCTGAGTTCATTGTGAAAAGTTCAACCTATTTTTTGAAAAAGCTGATATTTTAGAGATCAGAGTTTAAAAAGTTTAGTGGGAAGATGATTAGGATAGAAAAACTAACTATTGGATACTATCCTTATTACCTGGGTGATGAAATAATACATACATCAAACCCCCGTGACATGCAATTTATCTGTATAACCAACTTGCACATGTACCCCTGAAACTCAAAAAAATTTTAAAAACTTTAAAGCTATGTAAACAACACAGAAAACAAACAAGAACACATCAAGGTGACATGACATGGAAACTCCATTTCACTCTTGAGTCACTTTCAATCGGATTTTATGACCAATAAGAATGACCACAAAAATAACTATATGAGAAAAGGCAATCATTAATTAGCTAGATTTAACCATTCCACGATGTATATGTAATTCAAAACATCATGTTATACACAGAAACATACAATGTTATCTTTCAATTTAAAAAATAATGAGAAAAAATACAGATATCTTCTACTATTTCCTACTGAAACACAATGGTCAAGTCTAAAATATTTTTTCTGATTCTTCAATATTCTACCTTCCAGAGTAGATAAGATAGGGCCTCTATGTGATTTCTAAAGTCATTTGTTGTTTTAAGTTGACAAAATCACAAAGTTAGGTTAACCTCAATGAGCTTAATGTGTTACAGGGAATATGTAATGCTTCTGAATTTGAAAAATCTTATAAAATTTTTTTATGCAAATACGTATGTAAATCAAAATACATAATACAAAATACATGACATTCTCTTCCTATCCATGTGGAATAAGATTTCAACTCTTTAAACTGATCTACAAGGTCTTTTATGATAGACCCTCCTGTGTCTCCAATCTAGTTTCTTCAAGGAAAAAAAAAAATTCCTCAAAAAATATAACTCTTGTTTCCTTGAAAGGGAAGGATCTCTCAACATTGCTACTAAAACGAAACATAACAAAACAAACACACACATAATTTTTTTAAAATATACCTCTCTTGGTGGTTTCTTCTCTTTAATTAGAACTTTAACCATACCCTTACATAGAATATTTTCCGGTATTCCCTGTCTCCAGGGTTCCTCATACCATCAGCTTACCAAACCAACTCCACTGTTATTCAATGTCTGAGCATCGTTTTTTGTTCTTTTATAATATATATCAAAATTTGCCATATTCAATCACTACTTCCCAATTCTTATTTTAATAACCACGTGGTAGCATTTGACCTCCACCTTATATTCTTCCATCTCGTAGATTTTATGACACCATTTTCTCTGGGTTTTCCTCCCACCTCACAGGCTCTTCTTTTCAATCTGATTTGTTGATCTCTCACAAACCTCTACATGTTGTTTGCTCCATGGTTCAGCTCAAGGGCCACATCTCCCTTCTAACTGCACTCTCCTCTTCCGTGATCATATCCAGTCCTGTGACCATGTATCATCTAGTGAGTGATAACTTCCAGATATATATCACCTGATCCTCCCCAATCTTCCCTACCTTGTTGATGACACTACCACCCATGCAATGTGTCAAGCCTCACTCTACAATCAGCCTTCTTTCTTCTCATTCTCTCATCCTTCACTGCAAGTCCTATTGGTTCTGCTGTGTGCACTGAGACCATCTTGGTTGGATTCACCATCATCACTCATCTTGACTATTGCAAAAGATGGATTCCCTTCTTTTAGTCTTAATTTCCTGCAAGTCTGGCCCTTTAAAACCTAAATTAGTCAGATTAGCTTCTGCTTAAAATCTCCTAAAGTCTTCCCATTATACTTTGAATAAAATCCAATCTGTATGCCATAGCTCAACAAAAGTGACAACTGCCTCTTGAACTTCAGCTTATACTCCTCCCCTCCCACTCACTAAGATCTGCCACAGAGTCTTCTTCATGTTCCTGGAGTACCTAGTGTGTGTCTTCCTTAAGGCCTTCCTACTCCTCATTTCCTCTGCTTGGAATGTTCTTGCTCTGGCCTTTCACAATTTGGCCTCATCTCATCATTCAGGCCTCCAGTCAGATGTTTCCTCCATACACAGGTCTTTTCTGACAATTCTCCTTAAAACACTCCAGTCACTGTCATGTTATTCCTGTTTTGTTCACTGTCCTTACTGTTTTAAAAGTTATCTTTTTTCATTTTTTTACTTTTTTATTTGTCTTCCTTTTGCTAGCTCTATGAGGGCAGACATCTTAGTTTTCTAATTCCATACTTCCTGAACAATTGCTAGCATGCAGATGGCCCTTAGTAAATGGGAGATGTTAAACGATTGTATCTACATAACATAAAGCCACCGTATCATGTTATATCATTCTTCCCCAAAAGGCTAAGATACCCAGAGTGTGGGTCTACCAAGGTCATTCACTGTTTTTGTTGTTGTTGTTTGTTTTGTTTTTGTATTTTAGGGCATCTTAGGAATAACTCTGATAGCACAGTCACAGTGAGTATGCTGGGCCCAGGACTCTTGGTTTTAATGTGTATTTATTTGCTCCAGCTGCCAAAACAAAGTACCACAAATTGGGTGGCTTAAACAACAGAAATTTGTTGTCTCATAGTTCTGGAGGCTAAAAGTCTGAGACCAAGGCATCATCAAGCTTGGTCACTGTGAGAGGTGTTAGGGAAAACCTCTTCTATGCCTCTCTCCCAACTCCTGTGGTTTGCTGTCAATCTTTGCTGTCTCTCACCTGATCTCTGCCTTCGTGTTTGTGTGGCATTCTCCCTGTGTGTGTCTGTCTCCACTTTTTCCTTTTGCATAAGGACACAAGTCATACTGGATTAGGAGCCCATCCTATTTCAGTATGACTTCATCTTCACTACTTACATCTGTAATGACTCCACAAATGAGGTCACATACTGAGGTAATAAGAATTAAGACATCAACATAAGAATTTTAGGGAGATGTAAATATTCCTGGAAAGCAAATAGAGTTCTTCCTGAAGAAAAGTGTAGGAAACTATGATTTGAGAACATGACCCTACTTTAATTTTATTAAATTATTAAGGATATTATAGGTGTATTCCTTAAAACACAGATGTGCTTTATAAATTCATATCTTGTGGTTTAAATGTACCAAAAGGAGCTTTATATTCTATGGCAATTTTCAGAGTTAAAATGTTAGTTTGCTCTTTATCTACTTTTGTGGCTGCTACAAGGAATTTAGATCCACTATACTGATAATTCACACAGAAAAAAAGAAAATATAGGTATTAATCATCTCAAAAAATAAAACCTTCCATATTCTGTGGACTATAAATTAGTCTGATTAGTGTAGCAAATAGAAATGTACACGCTAAGCCACACAGACTAATTGTAGCCATCATTCAGCAAAATAAGTTCTTTTCCATTTACAGTAGAAAGGAAAGGGAAAATGGAAAACAGGGCTATTCTGATGGTGTGCAGTCAGATATGGAATATTAATGCTTTGGAATAATGGATTAGAAGACAGGCTGAGGCAGCAGTAGAAAACTAGGACTCAGGGATAACTAAAGTGAAGGAAAATCATATCCAAATAATAATTGGATCTGTGCCCCTAGGTATCAGTCAAGACCACTTTCCTGAATGTGATTTTTTTCTAACAATTTCTTGATTCAACCCAACAGTTTATTTTTTAACAACACTAATTTCTAATAAATAGAATCTACAGATCTCTGAGAATACATTCCTATAAAACATAGATAAGGAAGGAAGGAAATTACATCTTCAATTTTGGTCTGTGTCTTAAACAGGAGGAATATTTTAAGGTCATATTTTCATACATTTTACATAGGAATACTATGTTTTGTATTAATTTGCCAGGGTAGGCTAACAACTATTGCAAATAATTCCTAAATCTCAGTGGTTTAACATAAGAAATGTTTATTTATCAGTTACATCGCATCCCAGTGCAGACCAGCAAAGAGCTGTGCAGTTATTCAGGGGCCAGGATCCTTTTGACCGGTAGCTTTCCCATTTCCTAAGGCCTCAGAGTCTTCTCACAGCTCTTGTTCACCTGGTGAGGCAAGAGAGTGAGCAAAAAGTATTACCCAGGATATTCTTATATACCAGGACTCTAAGTGGCAAACATCACCTTTACTCACATTCATGGACCAGACCTCAGTCACATAACCCCACCCCACTGTAAAGGAGGCTGCAATCTAAAGTCTACCTCTCAACCTAAGAGGAAAAAGGAACAGAAATTTAACAACCTATAGCAGTTTCCCTGTCACACACTAGAATCATAGTAATTCTATATTTCTCTTAATCACAGTGGGTGGGAGATGATAGATAAATAGATAGATAGACAAATACAGAAAAGCATGTGTGGAGGGGTTCTTACCACGTAAACACCCAACTTGTTTCTTCAGTTATTTTAGAAATATTTATTTGCACATAAAAATGTAATGGAAAATCTGACAGTGAAGAGGCTTGCCATTGTTTAAATTCATGTTTTGATAAGCCTTTTTATTTGAAAATAATACAAAATTTTCATGGAAATGATTGATAATGCATGCTTCTAGTTATTTTAGATAGCCTTTTCCCCAATTCACCCTATAAGTGAAGTTTTGTTAGCCTGAGCTGCTTTAAGATGGCAAAAATCTCAAATGTGCTAATGCTAAGAGCACTATATATCAGTGCATTATATTTGCACTGATCAGTATTTCATCCTACTTTTTTTTTCCTTTTCACAACACTTATAATTAACTAAATAATCTGTGCTTCTTTCCCCTAGGAACTATCTTTGTTAATGTTGCTGAGATTTTGTCAGCTTGTGTGACTGGAAAACAATAGGTGCATTATAGCCTATCTGAATGTTGCTTAGAGAAATGGAAAGATTGAAAAGTCTTCTTGCTAGGGACTGGTATTTTTTCTTGAAGGTCAACAGTAATGTTTGGTTTCTAGAAGAAAGGAGTCTTGATGGATTTTTACCATGGAAACATTTACATGTAGAGATATGTTGCCATGTGTACTCCAGAGACACAGATCTATTCCACCATGATCATAGCCAACCAGCAGAAAAATTATATAATGGAAGTCTTACAACTTTTCTTAGGCGGTGTCATGCCCCTCTGAGGCATTGCTGGAGAAATTACAGTTCCATAATGAGACTCATAATTCATGTCAGCCCCAAGCCTTTTCATTCATTTATAAATGTTTTAGAGCTCTATGATTCATAATGCCATAAGCTGGCTTTCTTTCAGAACTGTCATGCTCTCATTAATGCCAACCATTCCTGCTTCTCGCCAAGAGACAAGCCCTGCAGTAATATATCATAAAGTTTAGTGCTTTCCTTGAATTACTATAGTCAAAATTATTTTTCTAGGTACTAAGTTAGTACAAAAGAACAGGTTTTAGAAAAATATTAAATATTGAGAAAGAAATCAGGAAAGCAAAGAAAGATCTCTACCACATCCAAGATGTCATTTTAGAGTTATTTTCCATTTTATCATAATGCACATTTTCTTTATATGTGAGAACTGTTATGCCCTAAGAAAATGATAAACTTTAACATTGAACTGGTATGAAATTAAAATGAAATGAGCTATCTAAAGTACAAGGCTTAGAATGAAAGTCTTTTGGGCAACAATCTTATTTTTGTATTTTATGTCCATCCTAAAAAATAATGTTTACAATGCATTTTCTTTTTTAGAAAACTTCATTCAGTAATTTTAGTTAATTAAAAAGATTAAATATTATTCTATTAAGCAACACAAAGCAGTTCTTAAAACCAGTTGAAGTTATGTAACATAAAACACATGTTGTCGAGTTGCAGGTAACACTTTCATTTGTGATTCATTATCTCCATGTGTTGCTCTTCACTGGCAATATCCTCTCCAAGGTTCATTTGCCGTTCTACTCAGCAGGACCAATTTGTTATCTCCTGAATCAAAATATGGCACAGCAGTGTGACACTGAAGACATGATCTTGTATTTTATTCAATTCCACAAAATTCAGTGGACCCACCTATTATTTGAAAGGTTCACTGGAGGCTCTATTTTGCTAGTTTCTGAGCCAATTCAGATTCAAGCAGGAAGTTTTTAACAGCTTAGATGCCCCACACAGCTGGGTTTACCACTGGGCTCCTCTGCCATATCTGGAATCCCATGACCCACAGATGACTGCTGTGGGTTTTTGTTATTGATCTTCCTGCTGCCTTACATTGTTAAAAGACAGCCTGATTTCTTTGCCTGAGTTTTAATCCATTACCTCACTCTGAATCTTGACTTCACATCTAAGCACTCTTCTGCTTAGACTTTCTCCATGATGTGGAATCTCGTGTCAGACCCTAGCTCCAAAACTGGAGCTTTGCTGTTGATGGATATGTATTCTAATAAAGAATATCCTCTCTGTGAGTCCAGTATGGATTACTAGCTGGACACTCTAACACCAAGTTGAAGTGATGATGGTCAGGCTAATTTTCTGTAAGACACAGAGCCTCAGAATCTTTGCTTTTCTAATTGTCTACCTTTTGGCTATGGATCCAAGGAAGAAAGCATTGTTTTGTGAATTTTATGTTTTTCTATTTTACTATGAGTCAAATTATACAAAAATTGTATGTTTCTGAATATAGGAAAGAAGAAGGTAAAGATGAAAAAAAAATTTCTGTTTTCACCGTGGCCTCAGGAAAAAACAACAGTGGGGAGAAGAACAGAGAACAGGGGAAACACGGATTCCACAGATAGGAAGCAAATTAGAAGTTTGTTCTAGTATCCCTAAATTATTTCCAGTCAATTCTCTTTTTTTCTCTTCAGAATAGAACAAATAATAATTTTTTAAAAATCTAACTTAGAAAATATACTAGTAAGCAACTGGGGAGATAGTGCTTAACATCAGAGTGGAGCCTTTACTCTAATTTTAGCTTGATTCTCTTTACTTTATTCTCCTTATGCATTAACATTGTAGGCTAAGCAATAATGTTTTCAATTAATCCCAAATATGTTACTGTAGTCTATCAGTTGAATTTATTTTAGCAGTTACCTAGTGGATAACTAATAAGTTAATTGAGGGCTTATGATAGTCTAGGAAAGTTTCTAAACATTTTATGCATATGAAATACTTTGCTCTCCTTTAGTCTACATGAGGTATTGTCATCATTCTCATTTTACAGATAAGAAATGTAACGCACAAAGAGGTTAAGGAACTTATACAAGTTTGCACATCTATTATGTGATAGTACAGATTTGAATGCAGGTGGCCTGTCACCACAGTCTACATTAAATTCTGTGGCCATGCACATACCATATTTGTACATATTAGAATTTATCTCAATGGTTCTAATACTAAACATCAATGACTAAAGAAACAGAGTATATCTACTGCACAATGTATGCAAATGTCTGTTTGTAAATACTTGAAGCACTGCTGCTTTGCATGCAAAACTTTGGCAATTTTTGCAAATAAGGCAAATTCACATTTCACATTTCATGGTAATTTTTATTCATTTTACTCTTCAAACAAGCTCTCTTTCTTATTTTAATAGGAAATGATAAATTTATCATGCAATTCAGCAGTGTTTTTTAAAAGTGTGTTCCATGGAACATGTATCTCAAAATCCGATATTCAGATTCTTAGATTTTCACCCCAAATCCTCTGTACAAGAATCTGAGGTGGAGCCTAAGAATCTACATTTTTACAAGTTCCTATGGTGTGTCTAATGCTTCTAGAGTTTGATTCAGAGGGTGCAGAGATTCCTGGCAGGGTTTCAATTTATCATTACTGCCTGCTGTAATTTAGACTAATTAGATAGAATACATTAACTTTCCACTCTTGAGTCCTAATTATTTTCCTAAGACATACAACCTATTTAAGTGACTTCCAAACAATTCATACAACCTTGACCTCTCCTATCCAGATCACAAAAATATATATAATAATGAAAATTCACAAGCTTGTGACCAACCCAAGATTATCCAATGAGTAAAATCCAACATTTTACTCATAAGTAAAAATGTTTCCCTCACTGCCTCAGAAGACATATCATTTATAGTTTCCTCCTTCAAGCTTTTTTTTAAGTTTAATTTACCTTGAATTAATTCTTGGCTAAGCACTGACTCTAAATATTTTATAGCCTGCTTTCTGCATTTGTCTTAAATCTAGATTTTTTCCCCTAGTGATTCTTTTGAGTAAAGCTTTTTAAGTTTTTCTGAAAAGTTTAAAAGTATTTTGAGCAGAATAGTTTCCCACCAAGTTTATTTCCTCCCATTGTATATTACATTATCTAACTAACTTCATTCCTGCTTAGCCGTAAAGTCAACTAGTCATAGTTAAAGTCAATTCTAAAGTCAGGAGATACTATAATCAACAGAGCATTGGACCACAGCCTGCTTAAATTTCTGAAAACAAGACTTCCTATACATGGTCCGATTGGTATGCAGAATAAGTGATGAATGCTAGAATCCCAAACAATTGCTGTGACGGGGGCTGAAACAGATGTTACAACTAAATATTTGAAAAGTAACACAGAAAGGACATACTGAGAGGCAATTGTGAATGATGCAGATTATTTATGAACTGCCAAGAAAAATAAGAAGAGGAACAGATCTTCCAGGTAATATCAGGGTTAACATGATTAATTTTGAAAGAGGCACTGGTCAAATCTAAGGCATTATTAAGTAGAAAATAGTGCTGAGCATAAAGCACAGTCCTCACAATCATTCGGAAAAGAATACAACATGAGAATATATTTTGTGAACCATGAGGTCTGTGAAGGCTTTATTATTATTATTATTATTATTATTATTATTATCATTATCATCAGTAGTAGTAGTAGTATACATTGAAAGAACAAGTAGTCAAACATTGAACCTTTCAACCTAGTGTTAAATTTGTATTTCAATATAGGTCACATTGGCAATTTTAAGGAATTGTTTTATGTCTTTAATCACATTGACATATCATTACAAATGTTGACTAAAATAGATTGACCATTATGTGACACAACTGGAATTCTCTTAGAGATTTGGGAAGGTAATTAATGAAATTTAACCCTAGATATAGTGCTTCCAGCAATTTTTTATTGGGTTAGAGAAGTGTTTCTTTCAAAGGCTTTACCTTTTATATCAATGGTAAATATGAATTATGTATAAATGGTAAATATAAATATGAATTTTGAAAAGATGTCACCATTATACTATTAATATAACATGTTACATTCAGAGCCTATTAGCTTGTGATAAAGTCACTTAATTCCAGTAACATCTCCTGTAATGGAGTAAGTAGATAATTTTTGGCAACATCTAGTAATACAAACATATTTACTTATATTACATCATTGTAAAATATTCTTGTTAAATGAATTATCTGCATTGAGGGAGTATACAAGATGCATGTTTATTATAACCTATAATTTTGAAACAAATGGTTGCCATTAAAAAATTTATTTTCTGAGAGAAGACCCAAATAAATAAAGGTGAAAATCAGGACATTACAATTGATACAACAGAAATACAAAGGGTAATAAAAGACTCCTATGAACAATTATACAACAACAAATTAAATAAATTAGAAGAAATGGGTAAACTCCTGGACACATACAACTTACCAAGATTGAAACATAAGTAAATAGAATATCTGAACAGATCAATATGAATAAGGACATAAAACTGGTAATAAAAAGCTTCGTATCAAAGAAAACCTTAGAATCTTATGGCTTCACTGTTGAGTTCCACCAAACATCAAACATCTAGAGACTAATTATTACCGATCCTTCCCAAACATTTTCATGAAATTGAACAGGAGGTGATACTTCCAAACTCTTTTATGAGGCCAGTATTATGAGGTTAGAGCCAGATTAGGACACTACAAAAAAACCAAAAATTACAAGGCAGTATGCCTGATGAACATATGTGTAAAAATCCTCAAGAAAATACTAACAAACTGAATTGAATAGCACATTAAATTCAACAGCACATTAATCACAATGATCAAGTGGACTTTATCCTACGGATGCAAGAAGAGTTAAATGCAACTCTATAAATGTGATACAACACATTAACAGAATGAAGGAGAAAAAACATATAATCACCTCAATAAATGCCAACAAATTTTTGACAATATTCAACACACTTTTATGATTTTAAAAAAAAGCTCTCAACAAAGCAGATATAGAGGAATGTACCTCAACACAGTAAAGATCATATATGACAGACTCATAGCTAACATCATACTCAATGGGGGAAGGTTGAAACATTTTAATCTAAGATCAGGCACAACACAAAGATGCCCACTTTTACCTCTTCTATTTAACATTGTATCAAAAGTCCTAGCCAGGGCAATTAGGTAAGAGAAAAAAGCAAAAGGCATCCAAGTTGGAAAGGAAGAGTTAAATTGTCTCAGTTCGTAGATGACATGATCTTATATTCAGAACACCTTAAAGAATCTATCAAAAAACTGTTAGAACTGATAAACACATTCTGTAAAGTTACAGAAGACAAAATCAACATACAAAATAAATAGCATTCATATATACTAACAGCTAACTATCTGAAAAAGAAATCAGGCAAACAATCTCATTTACAATAGCTAAGAAAAGAAACAATAAAATACATAGAAATAAATTTTAATCAAAAGTGAAAGACCTGTATGCTGAAAGCTAAAAAACATTGATGAAATAAATTGAAGAAGACATAAGAAAATGGGAAGATACTCCATGTTCATGAATTGGAAGAATTCATATTGTTAAAATGTCCAAACTATTCAAAATGATCTATAGATTCAATGTTAATTTCAATCAAAATTCTAAAGAGATTTTATATAGAAACAGAAAAATAATCCTAAAATTTGCATGAAACCACAGAAGACCCCAAACAGCTAAAGGAATCTTGAACAAAAAACAAAGAACCCACAAAAAACAAACAAAAGAAACAAAGCAGGCCGGGCTGGGTGGCTCATGCCTGTAATCCCAGCACTTTGGGAGGCTGAGGTGGGCGGATCACCTGAGGTCAGGAGTTCAAGACCAGCCTGGCCAACATGGTGAAACCCTGTCTCTACTAAAAATACAAAAATTAGCTGGGCATGGTGGCGCAGGCCTGTAGTTCCAGGTACTCGGGAGGCTGAGGCAGGAGAATCACTTGAACCCGGGAGGCGGAGATTGCAGTGAGCCGGGATCACACCATTGCACTCCAGCCTGGGCAATAAGTGCAAAATTGTCTCAAACAAACAAACAAACAAACAAAAAAAGAAAGAAAGTTGCAGAGATTGCACTACCTGACTTCAAAATATACTACAAAGACATAGTAATCAGACAGTGTGTATTGGCATGAAAACAGATATATAGCCCGATGGAACAGACTAGAGAGCCCAGAAATAAATTAATATATTTACAACCAACTCATTGTTGACTAAGTTATCCAGAACACTAATGGGGAAAAGACTGCCCCTTCAATAAATGATGTTGGAAAAGCTGTGTATACACATGCAGAAGAATGAAATTAGGCCCTAATCTCACACCACATACAAAAATAAACTCCAAATGGATTAAAGACTTAAACAAAAGACCTGACATTGTAAAACTACTGGAAGAAAACATAGGGGAACATCTCTATGACATTGGTCTGTGTAATAAGTTTTTTGGAAATAAACAAAGCACAGGCAACAAACGCAAAAATAGGCAAATGGTAGTACATTAAACTAAAAGTCTTTTGCACCACCAAGGGAAAAAAATCAACAGAGACAACCTGTGGAATGGGAGAAAATATTTGCAATCCATGTATCAGATAAAGTGTCAATTAATATCCAAAATATATTTAAAACTCAATAGCAAGAAAGCAATTCAATTAAAAATGGACAAAAGGCCTAAATAGACATTGCTCAAAAGAAGACACACAAATGGCAAACAGGTATATAAAAAATGTTCAACATAACTAATCATTGGAAGAATGTAAATTAAAACCACAATGAGATATCACCTTATGCCTGTTGGAATAGCTATTATCAAAAAAGAAAGATAACAAGTGTTGGCAAGAATGTGAAGGAAAAAAAACCCTTGTACACTGTTGATGGGAGTGTAATTTAGACAGCCATTATGGAGAACAGTATGAAGGTTTCTCAAAAAAACTAAAAATAAAATTACCATATGATCCAGTCGTCTCACTACTGGTTATATATCAAAGGAAATTACATTGGTATGTCAAAGAGATATCTATTCTCCCATGTTTATTTTGCCTTATGAATAACAACCAAGATATGGAATTGACTTTAGTGTCCATCAGCAGATGAGTGAATAAAGAAAATGTAGTATAATACAATGTAATACTATTTAGCCATAAAAAGAAGGAAATTCTGTTATTTCCTTCAATATGGATGACTCTGGAGGCTATGATGTTAAGTGAAACAAGCCAGGCACAGAGAGCATGTTCTCACTTCTATGTGGAATCTAAAATAGTTAACCTCACAGAAGTAGGGAGTAGAAAGATGGTTACCAGGGGCTAGGACAGTGGGAAGAGAGGGGGTTGAGAAAATGTTGGTCAAAGGATTTAAGATTTCAGTTAGGTAGGAGGAATAAGTTCAAGAGATCTCTTGTATAGCATGACAACTATAGTTAATAACTATATATTTATTGTATTCTCAGAAATGCAAAAATAAAAAATTTGAACTCATGGAAACAAAGAGTAGAATGGTGATTATCCATGGTTGGGGGCTGGAGATGGGGAAAGAGAAGATGTTGGTCACAGAATACAAAGTTTCAGTTAGACAAAAAATAGTCCTATTTTTAGCTCTAGCAAGCATTTTACTGGTCCATTGTGCTACACGGTGACCATATTTAATAATATTATATAGTATATTTCAAACTTGCTAAAAGATTGGATTTTAAATATTTCACCACAAAAAACAATTAGTAGATGAGGTGATAGATATGTTAATTAGCTTGATTTAATCTTGATTTAACTTATACAATGTATGGATGTATCAAAACATCATATTGTACCCCATATAAATACAATTACTATCTGTTAATTAAAAATTTTAAAAGGTAGGTGTTTTGAAACACTAAGTTTTGAGGACAGTTTGTAATAAAGCAATGGCTGATGTCCCAATGGTCATTGTGTTCCCCAAAGTGTTTATGCTGGTTGTATTGCTTTATTATTACATAATTTAATTAAATATTACTTTAAAAGGATGAGAAAAACTATAATTTCCTAGTAAATTTTGCATCTATCCTTCAGAATCCACTCTAATAACGAATTAACTGCTCCCTTAAGGGCCCAAATTTAAAAAGATACAATTCTGACCTAGCTATTCAAAACCCTCCTTTTTGTCAGAGGCTACTTGTCTATTTTCTGACCTAAAACTTCTTTGAAGTCATCAAGCTCATTCTTATGGTTACCTACCTGGGACTTAGATTTAAATAGAATGTTTCAGAGTTTCTAGCTTTCTGGCTCTTCTTTCAGCAGTGTCTGGCCACCACCAATCATGTTCCCACTAACACACCATACACACTGAACTCGAATTATTTTGATCAGAACTGAAATGACACCTGCTCAAATGCTTGGGTCTTTTATTTCGTACAGCTCAATTCCTTGCTCTTCACTTTCTTCCTTTGGCCAAAACTGTGATGAACTTCTCCCTGGTAAGGAAATCTAAGACTAATAATAGCTTATTTAGCAGAGAAGCTCCATCCTCAGTGGCCGGGGATATTTGAGAGTCTTATTTATAATCAAGACATACCTTTAAATCATATCCTAGTATTTAAGCATTTTACTGAATTAGATAACAACTCAGTTAAATAATCTATACTTGTGCTATTGAAACACATTAAGCAACTCACAATTTAGATTTTTTAAAATTGGTATTTTTTTTTCTCCTTCCTTCCTTCCTTCCTCTCTCTCAAAAATGGATCACTTCTGTTCACATTCCACTGGGGAGGACTGGTCACATGGTCCTACTTGGACGCAAAGAGAATTTGGAAGTACAATCATTATCTGGGCAATTGCTTCACAACTCTAAACTATGGGAAAGGAAGCCCAAATTTTGGTGGTCAGTTGTCTGTCTCTGTCTAAGAGACAAAAATCTCTTTAAAAAGTCTCTGCTAAGACCAACAGTCTTAGCTTTCCATAGATATACACAAACTCTTCTTTTGTTACTACTTCAGTTTTAACTCTTGTGTTCAGTGTACGCTAAAGTAGTGTAGAAAATTTAGAAAACAATATTCAAGAATCTGTAGTTTATCCACTTCTTAGAAAAGACACTTCAACGACTAATCTTTCAAAGTACTTTGTATTTCTGCTTTTTAGTCCTATATTCTTAAATTATAAAATAATTTAGCAACTAAGTTGTGAGTTCTAACGTTAATTATTCTCTTGTGATGCATTTCATCTCAGCTAGGATATATGTTCCCAGCTCATTAACATTTCCTGGTTATTAGCATTTCCCATTAAACTTCCTCAATAGGTCAAGTCTACGCTGATTTCAATGTAGTTGCCTGTGAATACCATAAAGAATGGTAACAGGGAAAAAATATATAGAATCAGAATTACTCTGCAAAGAGGCCCTAATTAGGTTCTCTCGATTCATAGAAATAGATCTTTTATCAGTGATAACACAATGCAATTAGGAAAGGTCTCTTGTAACTTGCCGTGGGTGTAGTCAGCTGATAGTAATGTTTCTTTTAGCAAACACTTCAGTAAACAGTGTCTCATCAGTTTTATTGTTATAATTCCTTCTCATAAGAATTGCCATCTAATTCAATATTTAGAACTAAACTATGTTAATACCAATGGCTTTACAGTTAACTCCAACTTTTTAAAAATTTGAAACTTCACTTTGTGGCTTTTTGAAGCATATTTCGTACACTTATTAAACGCCTTCTAACAGACCTTCTATTTATCTAATACTTTAAGGATGTGTTGTTCTGCATGGAAATAACATATTGAAAACAATGGTACTGGTATTGCAATTAGGGCTGACAAAATAGCTTTTCATCTTTTTCATTTAATATTTATAACACTGTTGTGAGGCTCACAGTATGACTTGCCAACAGAAACACAACTGGTCAGTAAAAGAACTAATTTTAAGTTCAAGTCATATATTCCCAAAAAGTAAGTAGATCTTTGCATTATGATGACCATTTAAGTTTTTTTTATAATGCATAAACCTGAAATAATTTGAGAGTCATGAAGTTGAGTTATTAATAGCAAATGCATAGAAATATATCAGTAAATATGTAAAGCGTCAATCAAAAATAAGGCTCGGCAGCCTGGGCAACATAACAAAAAGACATTACAACATATCAACAAAAAGATTAGATGTGGTGGTGCGTGCCTGTAGTCCTAGTTATTTAGGAGGCTAAAGCGTGCGGATCACTTGAGCCCAGGACGTCAAGGCTTTAGTGAGCTATGATTGTGCCACTGCACTCCAGCCTGGGCAACAGAGCAAGATCCTGTCTCCAAAAGAAAAGACTTGACATGATAATTACCTGCATGAAATCAGTAATGAGGAGGACATTGTGTATGGAGTCCATGAGGGAATTGAAATACATGGGACAGAGGGAACAGAGGGGAAGAAAGCAGTAAAAAAAGAGACTAGAGCAGCTAAAGGAGACCTAACTCTGAGTCTGGCAGAGAAATTTAGACTTACTAACGAGAGAGTAGCAAATCAATATGAATTCTTGAGATACAAGTATTCAGGGAAAGTGCTTTGAAGAAGAGGGAACTTGTCAGTGGACTTCGTGATTGCTTGAAAATAAAAAGGCCAAAGTCAGCCAGTCTGTAGCCACCAGGTTGAGATGTGAAGAAAATTTAGACACTGTGGCAATGGAGTGAAGCAAATGATCAACCTAGGCTCAGGACTATATTGGACTTAAGGAGTAAATGACAGTAAAATATTAAAGACAGAGCCCCACAGTTTTAGCCAAGGGGCCAGAAAAATGTGAGATTTAAGGAGGGACTTGTTTAAAAAAATAAGGTTGAAGTCTAATAGTCAAATTTCAACCTAGTGATGTCAAAATAAATACCTTGTTTCTTCCAATTCTGTGAAGAAACTCATTGGTAGATTGATGGGGATGGCATTGAATCTATAAATTACTTTGGGCAGTATGGCCATTTTCACGATATTAATTCTTCCTATCCATGAGCATGGAATGTGCTTCCATTTGTTTATGTCCTCTTTTATTTCATTGAGCAGTAGTTTGTAGTTCTCCTTGAAGAGGTCCTTCGCATCCCTTGTAAGTTGGATTCCTAGGTATTTTATTGTCTTTGTAGCAATTGTGAAAGGGAGTTCACTCATGATTTGGCTCTCTGCTTTTCTGTTATTGGTGTATAGGAATGCTTGTGATTTTTCCACACTGATTTTGTATCCTGAGACTTTGCTGAAGTTGCTTATCAGCTTAAGGAGATTTGGGGCTGAGATGATGGGGTTTTCTAAATATACAATCATGTCATCTGCAAACAGAGACAATTTGACTTCCTCTTTTCCTACTTGAATACCCTTTATTTCTTTCTCTTGCCTAATTGCCCTGGCCAGAACTTCCAGCACTATGTTGAATAGGAGTGGTGAGATGGGGCATCCCTGTCTTCTGCCGGTTTTCAAAGGGAATGCTTCCAGTTTTTGCCCATTCAGTATGATTTTGGCTGTGGGTTTGCCATAAATAGCTCATTATTTTGAGATACATTCCATCAATACCTAGTTTAATGAGAGTTATTAGCATAAAGGGCTGTTGAATTTTGTTGAAGGCCTTTTTTGCATCTATTGAGATAATCATGTGGTTTTTGTTGTTGGTTCTGTTTATGTGATGGATTACGTTTATTGATTTGCATATGTTGAACCAGCCTTGCATCCCAGGGATGAAGCCAACTTGATCATGGAGGATAAGCTTTTTGATGTGCTGCTGGATTTGGTTTGGCAGTATTTTATTGAGGATTTTTGCATTGATGTTCATCAGGGATATTGGTCTAAAATTCTCTTTTTTTGTTGTGTCTTTGCCAGGCTTTGATATCAGGATGATGCTGGCCTTATAAAATGAGTTAGGGAGGATTCCCTCTTTTTCTATTGATTGGAATAGTTTCAGAAGGAATGATACCAGCTCCTCTTTGTACCTCTGGTAGAATTCACCTGTGAATCCATCTGGTCCTGGACTTTTTTTGGTTGATAGGCTATTATTTCCTCAATTTCAGAGCCTGTTATTCGTCTATTCAGAGATTCAACTTCTTCCTGGTTTAGTCTTGGGAGGGTGTATGTGTCCAGGAATGTATCCATTTCTTCTAGATTTTCTAGTTTATTTTTGTAGAGGTGTTTATAGTATTCTCTGATGGTACTTTGTATTCCTGTGTGATCAATGGTGATATCCCCTTTATCATTTTTTATTGCTCCTATTTGATTCTTCTCTCTATTCTTCTTTATTACTCTTGCTAGCAATCTATCAATTTTGTTGATGGTTTCAAAAAACCAGTTCCTGGATTCATTGATTTTTTTGAAGGGCTTTTTTATGTCTCTGTCTCCTTCAGTTCTGCTCTGATCTTAGTTATTTCTTGCCTTCTGCTAGCTTTTGAATGTGTTTCCTCTTGCTTCTCTAGTTCTTTTAATTGTGATGTTAGGGTGTCAATTTTAGATCTTTCCTGCTTTCTCTTGTGGGCATTTAGTGCTATAAATTTTCCTCTACACACTGCTTTAAATGTGTCCCAGAGATTCTGGTATGTTGTGTCTTTGTTCTCATTGGTTTCAAAGAACATATTTATTTCTGCCTTCATTTCATTATTTACCCAGTAGTCATTCAGGAGCAAGTTGTTCAGTTTCCATGTAGTTGTGCAGTTTTGAGTGAGTTTCTTAATCCTGAGTTCTAATTTGATTGTACCGTTGTTTGAGAGAGTATTTGTTGTGATTTCTGTTCTTTTATATTTGCTGAGTAGTGCTTACTTGCAATTATGTGGTCGAGTTTAGAATAAGTGCGATGTGGTGCTGAGAAGAATGTACATTCTGTTGATTTGGGGTGAAGAGTTCTTTAGATGTCTATTAGGTCTGCGTGGTGCAGAGCTGAGTTCAAGTCCTGGATATCCTTGTTAAACTTCTGTCTCATTGATGTGTCTAATATTGACAGCAGGGGTGTTTATGTCTCCCATTATTATTGTGTAGGAGTCTAAATCTCTTTGTAGGTCTCTAAGGACTTGCTTTATGAATCTGCATGCTCCTGTATTGGGTGCATATATATTTAGAATAGTTACTTCTTGTTAAATGGATCCCTTTACCATTATGTAATGGCTTTCCTTGTCTCTTTTGATCTTTGTTGGTTTAAAGTCTGTTTTATCAGAGACTAGGATTGCAACCCCTGCTTTTTTTTGCTTTCCATTTGCTTGGTAGATCTTCCTGCATCCCTTTATTTTGAGCCTATGTGTGTCTCTGCACATGAGATGGGTCTCCTGAATACAGCACACTGATGGGTCTTGACTCTTTATCCAATTTGCCAGTCTGTGTCTTTTAATTGGGGTATTTAGTCCATTTACATTTAAGGATAATATTGTTATGTGTGAATTTGATCCTGTCGTTATGATGTTAGCTGGTTATTTTGCCCATTAATTGATGCAGTTTCTTCATAGCATCATGGTCTTTACAATTCGATTTTTTTTTTTTTTTTTTACAGTGGCTAGTACCAGCTGTTTCTTCCCATGTTTAGTGCTTCCTTCAGGAGCTCTTGTAGGGCAGGCCTGGTGGTGACAAAATCGCTCAGCATTTGCTTGTCTGTAAAGGATTTTATTTCTCCTTCACTTATGAAGCTTAGTTTGGCTGGATATGAAATTCTAGGTTGAAAATTCTTTAAGAATGTTGAATATTGGCCCCCACTCTCTTCTGTTCTGTAGGGTTTCTGCTGACCGATCCACTGTTAGTCTGATGGGTTTCACTTTGTGGGTAACCCGACCTTTCTCTCTGGCTGCCCTTAACAGTTTTTCCTTCATTTCAACCTTGGTGAATCTGAAAATTATGTGTCTTGGGGTTGCTCTTCTCACGAAGTATCTTTGTGGTGTTCTCTGTATTTCCTGAATTTGAATGTTGGCCTGCCTTGCTAGATTGGGGAAGTTCTCCTGGATAATATCCTGCAGAGTGTTTTCCAACTTGGTTCCATTCTCCCCATCACTTTCAGGTACACCTATCAAACATAGATTTGGTCTTTTCACATAGTCCCATATTTCTTGGAGGCTTTGTTTGTTTCTTTTTACTCTTCTTTTTCTAACCTTGTCTTCTCACTTTTTGTCATTTATTTGATCTTCAATCACTTATACCCTTTCTTCCACTTGACTGAATCAGCTATTGAAGCTTGTGCATGCATCATGAAGTGCTTGTGCCATGGTTTTCAGCTCCATCAGATCATTTAAGGTCTTCTCTACGCTGTTTATTCTAGTTAGCCATTTGTCTAACCTTTTTTCAAGGTTTTTAGCTTCCTTGTGATGGGTTTGAACATGCTTCTTTAGCTCACAGAAATTTGTTATTACTGACCTTCTGAAGGCTACTTCTGTCATCTCGTCAAAGTTATTCTCCATCTAGCTTTGTTCCATTGCTGGCGAGGAGTTGTGATCCTTTGGAGGAGAAGAGGTGCTCTGGTTTTTAGAATTTTCAGGTTTTCTGCTCTGGTTTTTCCCTGTCTTTGTAGTTTTATCTACCTTTGGTCTTTGATGTTGGTGACCTACAGATGAGGTTTTGGTGTAGATGTCCTTTCTGTGGATGTTGGTACTATTCTTTTCTGCTTGTTAGCTTTCCTTCTAACAATCAGTTCCCTCAGCTGCGGGTCTATTGGAGTTTGCTGGAGGTCCACTCCAGACCCTGTTTGCCTGGGTATCACCAGTGGAGACTACAGAACAGCAAATATTGCAGCCTGATGCTTCCTCTGGAAGCTTTGTCCCAGAGGGCACCCGCCTATATGAGGTGTCTGTCGGCCCCTACTGGGAGGTGTCTCCCAGTTAGGCTACATGGGGGTCAGGTACCCACTTTAGGAGGCAGTCTGTTCGTTCTCAGAGCTGAAATGCCGTGCTGGGAGAACCACTGCTCTCTTTAGAGCTGTCAGACAGGGATGTTTAAGTCTGCAGAAGTTGTCTGTTGCCTTTTGTTCATCTATGCCCTGCCCACAGAGTTGGAGTCTATAAAGGCAGTAGGCCTTGCTGAGTGAGCTGTGGTGGGCTCCACCCAGTTCGAGCTTCCCGGCCGCTTTGTTTACCTACTCAAGCCTCAGCAATGGCAGATGCCCCTCCCCCAGCCAGGCTGCCACCTGGCAGTTCCATCTCAGACTGCTGTGCTAGCAGTGAGCAAGACTCTGTGGGCGTAGGACCCACTGAACCAGGCATAGGAGAGAATCTCCTTGTCTGCTGGTTGCTAAGACCTTGGGAAAAGTGCAGTATTTGTGTGGGAGTGTCCTGTTTTTCCAGGTACAGTCTGTCATGGCTTCCCTAGGCTAGGAAAGGGAAATCCCTTGTCCACTTGTGCTTCTGGGGTGAGGCGATGCCCTGCCCTGCTTCAGCTCACCCTCCATGGGCTGCACTCACTGTCCAACCAGTCCTAGTGAGATGAACCAGGTACCTCAGTTGGAAATGCAGAAATCACCCATTTCTGCATCAATCACGCTGGGAGCTGCAGACCGGAGCTGTTCCTATTTGGCCATCTTGGAAACTGCCTCCCCTCATTCAATAAATATTTTATTTCTAATGTAAGGGCTTTTCTGTTAATTAACTGATTTCTTTCTTTTTTCTTTTTCTTTTCTTTCTTTCTTTTCTTTTTATAGTTTTTATTTATTTATTTTTTTTGAGACTGGGTCTCTAGTGCCCAGGCTGGGGTGTAGTGGCATGATCTTGGCTCAAAAGATCATCCCATCTCAGTCTCCTGAGTAGTTGGTACTACAGGCATGCACACCATTCCTAGCTGTGTGTGTGTATGCGTGTGTGTGTGCATGTGTGTGTGTATGTATTTTTTGTAGAGTCAGAGGTCTTGCTATGTTGCCCAGGCTGTTCTTAAACTCTTGAGCTCGAGCAATCCACCTGCCTAAGACTCCCAAGGCATCAGCCACTGTGCCCTGCATGATCAACCTATTTCTAATCTGTGCAGTTTTGGTTTTATTCCCCAATATTGTAAATTTCTAAGAACCTATGTTGATTAGATAAATATTCAATTTTAGAACCACTTTATCTCTTAAGAATACAATTTTTTTCTTGTACTAAAAGAAATGGCTTTGTTTAAAAATAAGTAAAATACTAAATGTCTTCATAAAACAAGCCTGTATGTTTCTCATTTTGTAAAGTCATTAATCCTGACCTTCAGAAAAGCTTCCCAATTCATACACAAAGCAGTGCTTTAGCTATGAGACTTTGAAGTAATGGGCTTAAGACATTGTTCCTCAAAGCAGATGTTTAGAATTATATTGACAGAAAAGAATTTTTGAGATCATATTTTAGCCTCCTGTTTTATAAACAGGGAAGCTGAAACTCAGAAAATGTATCCAAAACACAGATCAAGGTAGTAGTAGAAATGAGACTAGAATTCAGGGTACTGACTCTAGAATTAATGCTCTACAATTTTCTACATGGACTGTTACTTGCCATAGATGCAAGAGCCTGGATGCCAGGAATGGTTCAAAGTGATTCTACATCTATTCCCTCATAAATACTACCCAAGAGTGCAATGTATTAGGTACTATCATGGCTTCTCCATTTTAGGGAGAAGTAAGCAACACAGGCACAGTTGTAGTAACTCACTTAGCTAAAGTTAATGAATAACTTGCTGAAGGTTGCACACTAGTGAGGAATGAGGTTGGACTTTGAGCCCAGGTAATCTGGTTTCAAAGGCTGTTCCTCTCAAGTCCCGGGCTCCAATTCTACTGCTTCTAAGTACTCTGTGTACCACCTTCAAAACAGAGAATAGTTAACTTGAAGGAAATGAAATAACAAAGCTCCTAATTATTTCCTACCTCTTCAACCAAAGATAATCTTTAGTTTTTGGCAAGAGGGCTTTTGATAATTAAGTGCTTTACCCAGTAAGTATTACAAGCTCCAGCCAATGTCAAGAGTGGTAAGGTATTTAATCAGGAAAGACAATTGAAAACAATCTTATTCTTATCCTGCTATTCGTAGAGCTCAAGGGAGAGTGAATGCTAGGAAGGAGAGCCAGGACTTTAGTAGGTGATAAAGTACTAACAAAGGGGCAGTGTTTCAGTAAGGAAGGGGATAGACAGCAGCATCCAGCACAGAAGGGAATTCAAATGAGAGGAGAACTGAAAAGTCGTTATTGGATTTGGGAATTAGGAAGCTTTTAGTGAGTTTTGAAAGAGCAAATTCAGTGGAATCTAGCCTGCAGAGGGCCAAGGAAAAAACATAAAGATATAAAAGTGTGCCATACCACTTCAGGTTTATAAATGAATATCAAAACTAGATTACATTTCAGAAAATTAAGTTTTGTAATATTGTGGCAAACTGGGAATATATATCTCAGTTTTAAAAATTATTTTATTTAATAAACTGCTACTGTTTAATAAGCATGAAACAAATATCAAGAAGTATAAAAGATAAGTGGTGAAAAGTTTTCTTCCCTTCCTGTTTACCATCTGCATTCATCTGTCTTCCTGTGGGTAATCACTCCTAGTTTTTTTGGTTTATTTGGTTTGGTTTGGTTTGGTTTTGAGACAAGGTCTTGCTCTGTCGCCTCAGCTGGAATGCAGTGGCAGGATCTCAGTTCACTCCAACCTCTGCTTCCCAGGCTCAAGGGATCCTCCCACCTCAGACTCCTGAGTAGCTGGGACTACAGACGTGTGCCACCGCACCCACCTATCTTTTTCCGCTTTTTGTAAAGACAGGGTGTTGCCCAGGCTGGTCTCAAACTTCTGGGTTCAAGCTGTCCACCTGCCTCAGCCTCCCAAAGTGCCGGGATTACAGGCCTGAGCCACTGCGTCCAACCTAGTTTCTTCATCTTTTCAGATACTCTTTTTTAAATAAGGAAAACACACACGCACACTTCTACATTATGGTATTGTACTAGACTGTTATGAATTTGCCTTTCTTCCCCATTAAATGTATCTTGACAATCTCCCCATGTTAATACATGAGAATTAAAAACATTTAAATAGTATTTGGTTTGGTATATCATTTATTTTACTATTTCTGTATAGATGAAAATAAGGTTGTTTACACATATTTGCTGTCACAAATAGGGCTGCACGGTTTTACACATATATCCTTGTACATCTTTATTTGCATATATGCAAGTAAACCTCTCAGGTAAGTTCTTAGAAGTGGATTTGTTGGATTGATGGATATAAACTGTTGCAATATACACTGCCAAAGTGCCACTTCTTCATATTGTACCAATCTGCCATTCCACAATCAATGTATGAAAGCATCTGTTTCCTACTTCCTCACCAATGCTGTGTTAGCAAATTTTGAAATTTAATTTTGCAAATTTGATAGGTAAAATATATCTCAATATAGTTTTCAGTTATATTTCTGTTATCAGGAGTGAAGAACATCTTTTTATATGCTCAAGAGTCATTTGCAGTTAACTTTCTGTAAAACATCTGTTCATAAAAATCTTTATTTTTCTTCTGGGTTGTTATCTTTCTTATTAACCAATAAGAGCTCTTACATACATAGGAGCTTAGCCTTTTGTCAAAAAAAATTAAAAGAATTCTTTCCCAGTTTGTTATGTGTTTTTACTTTCTGTTTAGTGTTTTCATGATACAGAAGTTTTTTGTTGTTGTTACAAGTTTTACAGAGGTGAATATATTAGGCTACTCTTTTGTGGCTTCTGGAATTTGTGTCATAGTTACAGAGGTCATCTTCACTTTGAGGTTATAAAATAATTCTTGCATTGTTTTTTAACATTTTGGTTTTTGCATTAACATTTTTATTGTTTTGGAAGTTATCTTGGTATGCAGTATCAAATATGGACATAATTTAATTTTTTCCAGATGTTACCCACAACGTCACAATGCCATTAATTCAACAGTCTGTTTTTCCCAATTACTTGAGATGCCTTACATATCACATGAGCTTAGTTGATAAAGCAGTGGCAAGATTTGAGAGGATTGACTCCAATTTTGAAATAAGTTCTACTGTGGGTAAAATGGTATAAACTCTATATCACATGCCAAAGAGAAATCTTGCATGAAAGGAAGAGTTTATTGATGTGGCAAACTTAATAATTGTCTTATTTTAAGAAATTGCCACAGTCACCCTAGCCTTCATCAACTACCACCCTGATCAGTCAGCAGCCATCCACATGGAAGCAAGATCTCCACCAGGAAAAGGATTACAACTCACTGAAGGCTCAGATGATCACTAGAATTTTTTAGCAATATAGTATATTTTAACTGAGATATGTACATTATTTTCTTAGATATAATGTTATTCCACACTTTATAATAGACTACAATATAGTGTAAATATAACTTTTACATGCACTGGGAAACAAAAAAAACTGTGTGACATACTTTATTGCAATATTTGCTTTATTGTGGTGGTCTGGAACCAAACCCACAATATCTCTGAGGTATACCTACAAACAAGAAATGTCAGTAAAACTTTGTGAAAGAAGAACAATGAGGAATACAATCCTGACAGATATTAAAGCATACTATAAAGCTTTTAATTAAAATAGCACTGTATTAAGCATGATCATACAGCAAGACCAATAGAACAGAAGAGATATTTTGGTAACTAAGTTCATGTGATATCCTAACTCTTTTGTTGTCATTTCTACAATGTCCATAGCATCTTCACCAAGAGTAAATTCCATCTGAAGTAACCACTTTCTTGGCTCACTCATAAGAGGCATCTCCTCATTTGTTCAGATTTTATCATGACATTGCAGCAATTCAGTCAAATCTTCAGACTCTACTTCTAATTCTCTTGTGGTTTACACCATATTTGCAGTTACTTCCTGTATGGAAATCTTGAAACCATCTAAGTCATCCATGAAGGTTTAAATCAATTTCTTCCAAACTCCTTTTAATGTGGATATCATGAACTCCTCCCATAAATTACACATATTCTCAATGGCATCTTGAATGGCAAATCCTTTCCAGAAAGTTTTCAATTTACTTTGCCCAGATTTATTGGAGAAATCACTCTCTGTGGCAGCCAGGGCCTCACAAAATATATTTCTTAAATAATGAAAGTTGAAATTATTCCTTGATATATGGGCTGCAAAATGAATTTTGTGTTAGCAGGCATGAAAACAACATTAATCTTCTTGTACGTCTCCATCAGAGCTCTTATCAATGAGCAGTAATATTTTGAAAGAAATCTTTTCTCCGAGCAGTAGGTCTCAATGGTGGGCTTCAAATATTCAGTAAACCATCCTGTAAATAGATGTGCTGTCATCCAGACTAAGTTGTTTCATTTACAGAGAACAGGCAGAGTAGATTTAGCATGATTCTTAAGGGTGCCAGGATTTTCAGAATGGTAAATAAGGGCTGGCTTCAATTTAAAGTCAACAGCTGCATTATCCCCTACCAAGACACAGTCAGCCTGTCCTTCAAAACTTTGAAGCTGGGCATTCACTTCTCCCCTAGCTATGAAAATCTTCAATGGCATATTCTTCCAATACAAGACTGTTTTGTCTACATTGAAAATCTGTTGTTTAGTGTAGCCACCTTCATCATTACCTTAGCTACATACCTGCTACAGTTTCTGCATAAGCACTAGGTGCTTCACCATGAACTTTTATGTATGGAGATAGATTCTTTCCTTAGACCTCGTGAAATGAACCAACCTTTGCTAGCTTTTTCACTGCAGCTTCCTTGCCTCTCTCAGCCTTAATAGAATTAAGGAGAATTATGGCCTTATTCTGAAGTAGACTTTGATGTAATAGAATCTGTGGGTGATTTGATCTTTAACTGGACTACTAAAATGTCCTCCATATCAGCAATATGGCTGTTTATCTTTCTTATCATTCATGTGTTCACTAGAGTAGCACTTCTAGTTTTCTTCAATAATTTTTTATTTGCATTCCTAACTTGGCTAACTGATGCAAGAGGCCTACAACTTGGCTTTCAGTGTGCCTTCCTTACTAAGTTTAAACATTTCTAGCTTTTGATTTAAAGTTGGAGACATGCAACTCTTCCTTTCACTTGAACAGGAAGGCCATTGTAGGGTTATTCATTGGCCTAATTTCAATATTGTTATATCTCAGGAAATAGGGGTGTCCTAAGGGGAGGGAGAAAGACAAAAGCATGATCTCTTGGTAGAGCAATCTGAACATACAATCTGTCGATTAAGTTCAGTCTTATATGGGCACAGTTTGTGACACTTCAAAACAATTACAAAACAATACCAACATCAAATATCACTGATCAGAGCTCACTATAACAAATATAATAATAATAAAAGTTTGAAATATTGCATAAATTACCAAAATGTGACACAGAGACATGAAGTAAACACAATGCTGTTAGAAAAATGACCTCGATAGATTTGCTTGATGCAGAGTTGCCACAAACATTAAATTTGCAAAATGCAATAAAGCAAAGTGCAATAAAAAGGTATACCTGTATTTTATTTTGATGTAAAATCTTCACCTTATCTAAATGTGAAAAAATATTAATAATTAATATTTTTGTGTTGTATTTATAAATTACTTTACAAACTAATTAATTTAAAAATAATTAAATTAACTAAAATTATTACAAAGTTGGGTTTTCTTATCCAAGAACATAGACTCACTTCACAGTGGCATAAGTTTTCGTGTAACTCACAAGTGTTTTAAATTTTTCTTCAACCCTTGCCTCCCTCTTCTTCCTCCCCCTTAGTAGTCCCCAGTGTCTATTGTTGCCAGATTTATGTTCATGAGTAACTAATGTTTAGCCTCCACTTATAAGTGAGAACATGCAGTATCTGGTTTGCTGTTCCTGTGTTAATTCACTTAGGATAATGGCCTCCAGCTGCATTTATGTTGCTACAAAGGACAGGATTTCATTCGTTCTTATGGCTGTGTGGAATTTTATGGTATTATGCACCATATTTTCTTTATCCAATATACCACTGTTAGGCACCTAAGTGAATTCCTTGTCTTTGCTACTGTGATTAGTGCTGCAATGAACATTTGAGTGCATGTGTCTTTTTGGTAGAATAATTTATTTTCTTTTCAATATACACCTAGTAATAAAATTACTAAGTTGAATGGTAATTCTGTTTTAAGTGTTTGAGAAATCTCCATACTGCTTACCACAGTTACTGAACTACTTTACATTCCCACCAACAGTGTATAAGCATTCACTTTTCTCTGCCAGCATCTGTTGTTTTTTGACTTTTTAATAATAGCCATTCTGATTGGTGCGAGATGGTATCTCATGGTACTTTGATTTGTATTTCACTGATAGTTAGTGATGTTGATCATTCTTTCATATGTTTGTTGGCCACTTGCTTGTCTTCTTTTAAGAAGTATCTGTTCATGTCTTTTGCCCACTTTTTAATGGGATTATGTATTTTTTGCTTATTGAATTAAGTTCCTCACAGATTGTAGATATTAGACCTTTGTTGGATGCATAGTTTGTGAATATTTCCTCCCATTCTGTGGGTCATCAGTTTACTCTGTTGATAGTTTCTTTTGTAGTGCAGAAGCTCTTTAGTTTAATTAGGCCCCATTTGACAATTTTTGTTTTTGTTGCAATTGCTTTTGAGGACTTAGTCATAAATTATTTCCCAAGGCTTATGTCCAGAATGGTACTTCCTAGGTTTTCTCCTAGGATTCGTATAGTTTGAGGTCTTACATTTAAGTCGTTAATCTATCATGAGTTAATTTTTATATATGGTGAAAAGTAGGGGTCCAGTTTCATCTTCTGCATATAGCTAGCCAGTTATCCCAGCACCATTTATTTAATATGGAGTCCTTTACTCATTGCTTATTTTTGTCAACTTTGTTGAAGATCAGATGGCTGTAGGTGTGTGGCTTTATTTCTGGGTTCACTATTCTGTCAGTTGGTCAATATGTCTGTTTAGGTACCAATACCATGCTGTTGTAGTTACTGTAGCATTATAATATAGTTTTAATTTTGGTAATGTGATGCCTCCAGCTTTGTTCTTTTTGCTTAAGATTGTTTTGGCGATTTGGACTTTCTTTTGGTTCCATATGAATTTTAGAATAATTTCTTCTAATTCTGTGAAAAATGACTTTGGTGGTTTGATAGAAATAGCATTGAATCTGTAGATTGCTTTAGGCAGTATGGCCACTTTAACAATTTTGATTCTCCTAGACCATGACAAATGGAATTTTTTTCCATGTGTTTATGTCATCTATAATTTCTTTCAGCAGTGTTTTGTAGCCTTCCTTGTAGAGATCTTTTACCTTCTTGGTTAGGTATATTCCTACTTATTTTATTTGTGTGTGTGTGTGGCTATTGTAAATGGAATTGCATTCTTGATTTGGCAATCAGCTTGAACATTATTGGTGTATAGAAACACCACTGATTTTGGTACATTGATTTTGTATCCTGAAACTTTACTTAAGTTGCTTATCATTTCCAGAAGCCTTTTGGCAGAGAGAGTAGCGTTTTCTAGGTATAGAATCATATTATCCACAAAGAGAGACGGTTTGGCCTTTTCTTTTCCTATTTGAATACTTTTATTTTTCTTTCTCTTGTCTGATTTCTCTGGCTAGCACTTCCTGTACTATGTTGAATAGGAGTGGTGAAATTAAGCATTCTTGTCTTGTGCCAGTTCTTAAGGGGAATGCTTATAGCTTTTTCCTATTCAGTATAATATTATCTGTGGGTTTGTCATAGATGGCTCTTATTATTTCGACTTATGTTCCTTCCATGCCTAGTTTATTGAGAATTTTTGTCATGGAGGGATGCTGGATTTTATTGAAAGCTTTTTCTGTATGTATTGAGATGATCATACGGTTTTGTTTTTAATCCTGTTTATGTGGTGAATCACATTTATTGATTTGGATATGTTGAACCAAACTTGCATTCCAGGAATGAAGCCTACTTGATTGTGGTGAATTAACTTTTCGTGTATTGCTCAATTCTGTTTGCTAGTATTTTGTTGAGGATTTTTGTGTCTACATTCATGAGGAATGTTGGCCTGTAGTTTGTTGGTTTTTTATTTGTTTGTTTTGTCTTTAGTTTTTGGTATCAGGGTGATGCTGGCTTCATAGAATCAGTAGAGAGGAATACCTCCTCCTTGGTTTTTTGGATTAGTTTCAGTAGAATTGATGCCAGCTGTTTTTTGTACATGTAGTAGAATTTGGCTATGAATTTCATCTGGTCCAGTGCCTTTTATGGTTGGCGAGTTTCTTATTGCTGATTCAATTTTGGAGCTTGATAATTGTCTGTTCAGGGTTTTAATTTATTCCTGGTTGAACTTTGGGAGGTTGTGCATTTCCAGGAATTTATCCATTTCCTCCATATTTCCTTCAGTTCTGCTCTGATCTTAGTTATTTCTTGCCTTCTGCTAGCTTTTGAATGTGTTTGCTCTTGCTTCTCTAGTTCTTTTAATTGTGATGTTAGGGTGTCAATTTTAGATCTTTCCTGCTTTCTCTTGTGGGCACTGAGTGCTATAAATTTCCCTCTATACACTGCTTTAAATGTGTCCCAGAGATTCTGGTATGTTGTGTCTTTGTTCTCATTGGTTTCAAAGAACATCTTTATTTCTGCCTTCAATTCGTTAGGTACCCAGTAGTCCTTCAGGAGCAGGTTGTTCAGTTCCATGTAGTTGAGCGGTTTTGAGTGAGTTTCTTAATCCTGATTTCTAGTTTGATTGCACTGTGGTCTGAGAAACAGTTTGTTATAATTTCTGTTCTTTTACATTTGCTGAGGAGTGCTTTACTTCCAACTATGTGGTCAATTTTGGAATAAGTGCAATGTGGTGCTGAGAAAAATGTATATTCTGTTGATTTGGGGTGGAGAGTTCTGTAGATGTCTATTAGGTCCACTTGGTGCAGAGCTGAGTTCAATTCCCAGATATCCTTGTTAACTTTCTGTCTCGTTGATCTGTCTAATGTTGACAGTGGGATGTTAAAGTCTCCTATTATTATTATATGGGAGTCTAAGTCTCTTTGTAGAACTCTAAGGACTTGCTTTATGAATCTGGGTACTCCTGTATTGGGTGCATATATATTTAATATAGTTAGCTCTTCTTGTTGAATTGATCCCTTTACCCTTATGTAATGGCCTTCTTTGTCTCTTTTGATCTTTGTTGGTTTAAAGTCTGTTTTATCAGAGACTAGGATTGCAACCCCTGCCTTTTTTGTTTTCCATTTGCTTGGTAGATCTTCCTCCATCCCTTTATTTTGAGCCTATGTGTGTCTCTGCACGTAAGATGGGTTTCCTGAAGACAGCACACTGATGGATCTTGACTCTTTATCCAATTTGCCAGTCTATGTCTTTTAGTTGGAGCATTTAGCCCATTTACATTTAAGGTTAATATTGTTATGTGTGAATTTGATCCTGTCATCATGATGTTAGCTGGTTATTTTGCTCATTAGTTGATTCAGTTCCTTCCTAGCATCGATGGTCCTTACAATTTGTCATGTTTTTGCAGTGGCTGGTACTGGTTGTTCCTTTCCATGTTTAGTGCTTCCTTCAGGAGCTCTTTTAGGGCAGGCCTGGTGGTGACAAAATCTCTCAGCATTTGCTTGTCTGTGAAGTATTTTATTTCTCCTTCACTTATGAAGCTTAGTTTGGCTGGATATGAAATTCTGGGTTGAAAATTCTTTTCTTTAAGAATGTTGGATATTGGCCCCCACTCTCTTCTGGCTTGTAGAGTTTCTGCCGAGAGATCCACTGTTAGTCTTATGGGTTTCCCTTTGTGGGTAACCCGACCTGTCTCTCTGGCTGCCCTTAACATTTTTTCCTTCATTTCAACTTTGGTGAATCTGACAATTATGTGTCTTGGAGTTGCTTTTCTCGAGGAGTATCTTTGTTGCATTCTCTGTATTTCCTGAATTTGAATGTTGGCCTGCCTTGCTAGATTGGGGAAGTTCTCCTGGATAATATCCTGCAGAGTGTTTTCCAACTTGGTTCCATTCTCCCCGTCACCTTCAGGTACACCAATTAGATGTAGATTTGGTCTTTTCACATAGCCCCATATTTCTTGGAGGCTTTGTTCATTTCTTTTTAACCTTTTTTCTCTAAACTTCTCTTCTCACTTCATTTCATTCATTTGATCTTCAATCACTGATACCCTTTCTTCCAGTTGATTGAATTGGCTACTGAAGCTTGTGCATTCATCACGTAGTTCTCATGCCATGGTTTTCAGCTCCATCAGGTCATTTAAGGACTTCTCTACACTGGTTATTCTACTCAGCCATTAGTCTAATCTTTTTCAAGGTTTTTAGCTCCTTTGCAATGGGTTCGAACTTCCTCCTTTAGCTCAGAGAAGTTTGATCGTCTGAAGCCTTCTTCCCTCAACTCCTCAAAGTCATTCTCCATCCAGCTTTTTTCCGTTGCTGGCAAGAAGCTCCGTTCCTTTGGAGGGGGAGAGGTGCTCTGATTTTAGAATTTTCAGCTTTTCTGCTCTGTTTTTTCCCCATCTTTGTGGTTTTATCTGCCTTTGGTCTTTGATGATGGTGACGTACAGATGGGGTTTTGGTGTGGATGTCCTTTCTGTTTGTTAGTTTTCCTTCTAACAGTCAGGATCCTCAGCTGCAGGTCTGTTGGAGTTTGCTGGAGATCCACTCCAGACCCTGTTTACCTGGGTGTCAGCAGCAGAGGCTGCAGAACAGCGAATATTGCTGAACCGCAAATGTTCCTGCCTGATCGTTCCTCTGGAAGCTTCGTCTCAGATGGGTACCTGGGCATGTAAGGTGTCAGTCTGCCCCTACTGGGGCATGCCTCCCAGTTAGGCTACTCGGGGGTCAGGGACCCACTTGAGGAGGCAGTCTGTCCATTCTCAGATCTCAAACTCCATGCTGGGAGAACCACTGCTCTCTTCCAAGCTGTCAGACAGGGACATTTAAGTCTGCAGAGGTTTCTGCTTCCTTTTGTTCGGCTATGCCCTGCCCCCAGAGGTGGAGTCTACAGAGGCAGGCAGGCCTCCTTGAGCGGCAGTGGGCTCCACCCAGTTCGAACTTCCAGGCCACTTTGTTTACCTACTCAAGCCTCAGCAATGGTGGGCGCCCCTCCCTCAGCCTCACTGCCACCTTGCAGTTCTGTCTCAGAGTGCTGTGCTAGCAATGAGTGAGGCTCCGTGGGTGTGGGACCCTCCAAGCCAGGCGCGGGATATAATCTCCTGGTGTCCTGCTTGCTAAGACCATTGGAAAAGTGCAGTATTAGGGTGGGAGTGACCCGATTTTCCAGGTGCCATCTGTCTCCCTTCCCTTTGCTAGGAAAGGGAATTCCCTGACTCCTTGGGCTTCCTGGGTGAGGCGATGCCTCGCCCTGCTTCAGCTGACACTCAGTGGGCTGCACCCACTGTCCTTCACCCACTGTCTGATGAGCCCCAGTGAGATGAATCCAGTACCTCAGTTGAAAATGCAGAAATCACCCATCTTCTGCATCACTCACGCTGGGAGCTGTAGACTGGAGCTGTTCCTATTCGGCCATCTTGGAACTCCCTACCCATCATCACTTTATCTTTCAATATGCGGTTTGTTTTCTTTCACATGTGTGTATTTGTTTGTGTGTGTGTGCTTGTGTATGTATAGTTTATTAGTTCCCTAGCAAGAAAAATAAATAAATTTAGCAAATCTTTTCTTCCTATTCATCTTCTCTTTCCCTTCCACACTTTATACTATTCAGTAGTAGTATGGTTTGTTGTGTTTAGTTTTATGCTAGTGGATGTGCATATACTTCTATTACTTTGTTAATTTTTAATTTCTTTTTATTTCCAGTGATTTGAGATAAGGCAATCAGGATGCTTAATCTGTCTTTTTCCTCCTTGCTCCTTCCAATTTTTGTCAGTGATATTTCTTATTTATAGGACATACAATATTTACACTGATGTGTCACTGTAAACCCCACATTTGTCTTAGCCTTAGGTGTATTGTTAAGTATGTTCAATGTGCATCATATCATAATAGCTAAACTTATTCTCCAGTAGTTTTTTCAAGAAAGATTAGTGGAAGTAATGTTATCTGGTTTCTTGACTATTGCAAACTGTTTGTCTATGGCCCTTATACTTGGAAGTCAGTTGGGCCAGAAAATGATTCCTTCAGTTATATTTTTTTTCTTTATAGGATTGTTTAGATCACTGTCTTCTGACATTAAATGTTGCTGTGGAGGTTGAAGAAGCATAATATGGCAAGTTTTACAGTTATTTTTCAATATTGACTTTTCTAGATTAATTTTTCCTGGCATGTGGTGTGTCTTACACACACACACACACACACACACACACACACACACACACACACAGACACATCCAAGCCTTCTTTATAATTTCAAGAAAATTTCTTTGAATTATATTTAAATATTTGTTCTGTACTTTTATCTTGATTTAGGTTTTTTAGGAATTCCAATTATGTGTATGTTGCACCATCTTTGTCTTTTTATGTATTTTTTCTATTTAATTATTTTTTAAATTCTATCTCATTTTCTATCCTTCTCTCTTTCTCTTGCTTCTATCATCTATGTTTTTTACAGTGTCCCTTTGCTTTTGCATTCTTTCTCATATCCTTTTTATTTCTTTGTTAATTTTATTTTTGCCTTTTATTTTCTATGTTTAGCCAATATAATTTCATGTCTTGCTGTTTTCTTGCCATCTGTTCCCTGACTTCCAGCGTCTTTGCTATATTGTTGCATTTTCCTTCATAGAAGCAATAGTTTCATTAAATTTTGTTATTTGCTTATTTTGTTTTAATTTGGGAACAAAGATTGGTCTAAGCTTTTTTTTTTTTTCTGAGACAGAGTCTAACTGTCGCCCAGGCTGGAGTGCAGTGGCACCATCTTGGCTCACTACAGGCTCTGCCCCCCGGGGTTCATGCCATTCTCCTGCCTCAGCCTCCCAAGTAGCTGGGATTACAGGTGCCCGCCACCTCGCCTGGCTAATGTTTTGTATTTTTAGTAGAGACAGGGTTTCACCGTGTTAGCCAGGATGGTCTTGATCTCCTGACCTCATGATCCGCCCACCTCAGCCACTCAAAGTGTGGTGTAAGCTCTTTATTTGTTCCATATCAACATTTTTTTTCTGGAGTATTCCTTATTTATTTCAAAATTTTGCTAATCTATTCTTCCTTTTTCTTTATAGCTTATTTTTTGGATAATGTGCTAATTACTTTTTATACTTGCCTTTAAATGAATTGCATCAGCCCTTTGCTAATTATTATTGTTACCTGTGTTTTGAATGAGTTGGATAGTGTTTGCAAGAAATTCTTGGTTGCTGGGACAGAGTAGAATTTTAAGATGCTTTTATAACCTAATTGCTTTCTTCTAAATTAACACAAAGACAGACTTCTTCCTGCAAATGTCATTTTCATGTCATAGATCTCCCCTGCTTCTCTGATTGTAACTTGATCCTGAGTGACTTCTTAGATTAAGCTGCTCAATATTTTTCTCATTTGTTGGCCCAGTTAAAGGGCATTGTTTTTTGTGCACTCAAGTATACCTATCACCCACAGGAAACGTGTTTTTCCTAGGACTTTCTGCAGCTTCTGGATTCTTTCCTCAGCTTATCTCCACTTTCTCTTATTGGCTTCTATATTTAATGGAAGCTTTTAGAAGCTCTTAAATATATCCTGAAATTTTTATCGTATATTAGTCTGTTTTCACATGCTACAAAGAACTGCTTGAGACTGAGTAATTTATAAAGGAAAGGGGTTTTATTGACTCACAGTTCTGCATGGCTGGAGAGGCCTCTGGAAACGTATAATCATGACAGAAGGTGAAGGAGAAGCAAGTATCTTCCTCACAAGGCAGCAGAAGAGAGAGCACAGGGGAAACTGCCACTTTTAAAGCATCAGACCTCGGGAGAACTCTCTCACTATCATGAGAATAGCATGGGGGAAAATGCTTCCATGATCCAGTCACCTCCCACAAGGTCAATCCCTTGACACATGGGGATTACAATTAAGAGAAGATATGCATGGGGACACAGAGCCAAACTATATTATTCCACCCCAGCCCCTGCCAAATCTCATGTGCTTTTCACATTTCAAAAGCAATCATGCCTTCTCAATAGTCACCCAAAGGCTTAACTCATTCCAGCATTAACTCAAAAGTCCTAGTCCAAAGTCTCATCTGAGACAAGGCAAATCCCTTCCCCTATGAGCCTGTAAAATGGAAAGCAAGTTAGTTACCTCCAAGATACAATGCGGGTACAGGCATTGGATAAATATTCCCATTCCAAATTGGAGAAATTGACCAAAACAAGGGGCTATAGGCTCCATGGAAGTCTGAAATCTGGCAGGGCAGTCATTAAATCTTAAAGCTCCAAAATAATCTCCTTTGACTCCATGTCTCACATCCAGGGCATGCTGATGCAAGGGGTGGGCTTCCAAGGCCTTGAGCTCTGCAGGGTACAGCCCCCACAGCTGCTTTTATGGGCTGACATTGAGTGCCTGCAGCTTTTCCAAGTGTGTGGTACAAGCTGTTGGTGGATCTACCACTCTGGGGTCTGGTGGATGGTGGTCCTTTTCTCACAGGTCTGCTAGGCAGTGCCACAGTAGGGATTCTGTGTAGGGGCTCCAAGCCAACATTTATCCTCTGCATTGCCCTAGTAGAGGTTCTCTATGAGGTCTCTGCCCCTGCAGCAAACTTCTACCTGGACATCCCGACATTTCCCTACAGCTTCTGAGATCTGGATGGGGGCTCTCAAAGCTCAACTTTTGTCTTTTGTGTACCTGCAGGCCCCAAACCACATGGAAGCTGCCAAGGGTTGGGGCTTACACCCTCTGAAGTCATGGTCTGAATTGTACATTGGATCCTTTTAGCCACAGCTGGAGACGGAGTAGCTAGTACACAGGGCACCAAATCCTGAGGCTTCACAGAGCAATAGGACCCTGAGCCCAGCACATGAAACCATATTTTCCTCCTAGGCCTCCAGGCCTGTGATGGGAGAGGTTGCACTGAGGATCTCTGACATGCCCTAGGGAGATTTTCCCCCTTGTCATGGCTATTAACATTTGACTCCTTATTACTTATGCAAATTTCTAGAGCTGGCTTGAATTTCTGCCCAGGAAATGGGTTTTTCTTTCCTACCTCATGGTCAGGCTAAAAATTATCCAAACTTTTATGCGCTGCTTCCCTTATAAAGAAAAGTTGCAGTTTCAGATAATCACTGTGAATGCATATGACTGAATGCTTTCAGAATCTGCCAGGTAACTGCTTGAATTCTTTGCTGCTGGAAATATTTTCCACCGATTACCTGAAATCATCTCTCTCAAGTTCAAAGTTCCACAGATCTCTAGGGCAGGGGCAAAACACTCGCTGCCAGTATCTTTGCTAAAGCATAGCAAGAGTGACCTTTACCCCAGTCCCAATAAATTCTTCATCTTCATCTGAGACCACCTCAGCCCGGACTTCATTATCCATATCACTATCAGCATTTTGGTCAAAATCATTCAACAAGTCTCTAGGAAGTTCCAAACTTTCTCACATCTTCCTGTCTTCTTCTGAGCCCTCTCAACTGTTCCAACCCCTGCCCATTGCCCATTTCCAAAGTCACTTCTACATTTTCATGTTATCTTTATAGCAGCACTCCACTCCTGGTACCAATGTTCTGTATTTGCTTTTTTAAATGTATCTATTTCTTTAACTTATATGTATGTTCTTTGCTCAAAAAGTAAATTCCCTGTAGACATATGTTGTGTTAGTCCATTTTGACACTGCCATAAAGAACTACCTGAGACTGGGTAATTTATAAAGGAAAGAGGTTTAATTTACTCACAGTTCTCATGGCTGGGGAAGCCTCAGGAAACTTACAATCATGGGAGAAGGTGAAGGGGAAGCAAGTACCTTCTTCACTAGGGGCCGGAGAGACAGAGAGAGCGCACAGGGGGAACTGCCACTTTTAAATCATCAGATCTCATGAGAGCTTCCTCACTGTCATGAGAACAGCATGGGGAAAACTGCCCCCATGATGCAATCACCTCCCACCATGTCCCTCCCTTGACATGTGGGGATTACGATTCGAGTTGAGATTTATGTGGGGAAACAGCCAAATGATGTCATCTCCTAATTTTATCAAAAATGGAATTTTTACTTTTGTCTTAAATTCTCCTGGTTATTTTATTTGTTTGTTTGTTTGTTTATTTATTTGAGACAGAGTCTCACTCTGTCACCCAGCCTGGAGTGCAGTGGCACCATCTCAGCTCACTGCAACCTCCACCTTCCAGGTTCAAGCTATTCTCCTGCTTCAGCCTCCTGAGTAGCTGGGACTACAGTCGTGTGCCACTATGCTTGGGTAATTTTTGTATTTTTAGTAGAGACAGAGTTTTGCCATGTTGACTAGGCTGGTCTCAAACTCCTGACCTCAAGTGATCCACCTGCCTTGACCTCCCAAAATGCTGGGATTACAGGCATGAACCACCGTGCCCGGCCCCTGGTTATTATTATTATTTTATTTTTAGAGGAAAGATTGCTTAGCTTATATAGTCAAATTTGCCTGGTAAGTACTTATCTCGTTTGTCTACCCCAAATAATGAGGGAAATTAGAGCATTACAACATACCTAACTTTCTTTGAATTGTTATTTTCAGAATTATGGAGAAGAATAAAATAATAACCAAAAAGAGTCTACTTCTACTTTCATGTCATGATTTTTGCTAATAATAAGAATAACAATACCCCTTTGTCTTATTGTTTCTGCTGCAGCAGCACCAAGGGCACAAAAGCATATCTCATTTTCTTTTACTTTCTGTATTACTTTATTTTAAAAAGCTTGGGTCTTTCTATCTTAAAGGGGCCCACAGCTGTAAAGACTCTTTAGGGGACTGGTGTTTCTACCCACTGCCAAGAGAAACATGTTGCACCCATGCTCAGTGGTTGATACTAGCCATTGGCTTATTTCTGGTTATAACTCAAGCTTCTGTATTCATTCTTTAAAATTGTTTAGGTCCTCATCCTTGGCTTCTTTTGAAATTGACTTCTGTTCCTCCATTTCATTCATGCAGGCAAGCACAGCTGGGTACCTCTGTTGACAGCATCCAGGTTTGAATTGCATAGTGATGGAAGCCAAGCCATCCTTAGGTGTCTGGAACACATTTTATCTTTGGAAATCTGACACACCCTCAATATTGTTGACATTTGAGGCATAGTGCCAGACTCATCCAAGCACATAGCTATTTCCCTAGGAAACCATCTAATATGGGTATTTAAAAGCTACTATTTTATTGCTATTGGATGCCATTAAATGCTGGTTCATGAACCAGGAAAAGAAAACATTGCAAGTGAGAAAATAGAACATCCTCTAAAATGGTCTGTGTCTGTGTGGGACATTTAAATATAACAGAAAAAAAAAACAGTAAGTTCAAAATGATGTCGTTTTACCTTGTGAGTTTTTATTTTAACTTTATTGTGGGCTTGTTATTTTTGTACCTTGATGATATTTTAATGTAAAAGCACAATTATTATCCAATGCTTATTTTAACCCAGAACTTGACTATATATAAGAAGATCTTTTATTTTTACTATTAGAGCATTTTGATAAATGAAAAAGAGAAACAGCAACTTTCTGTATTTATTCACATATGCTACCCATTGCCAGTTTTTATCAGAAAACTGTAGGCTATCCCTCAAATTCACTATAGCTTAATCCCCTGCTAGGCATGGAGTAGAGCTAGATATCTATTTTTAAAATCATGTCCATTTAATGAAAGTAAAACTTACCATATATCCAGAGATTTGGTCTTTATTTCATCTTTCTGAAAATATAAATATAATTTAATTGGTTCAGAATCCTGTCTCATCATTCTCATTTGTTATTCTCTTTCTTTTCAGCTACATCAATCTGTTTTTTATTTGCATCACTGAACTTGCTTGTCTTTATTTTCCAGCTCTAACATGCCAATCCTCCCTCACTATTGCCAGCCCGAAACATCTCTTCAGTGGAGTATTATTTAATTTATACACATAATACTTATGTCATTGTTCTGTCCTGGGAAATGTATCAACAACTATTAGATGTCTACTGTTTTGGAATTTAAGACAAATTATTATATCAGTCTGTTGTAAACAACAGAAGCTGATTTAGTTTGATTAAGCAGAAGTTTATTAAAAGAATATTGGATAGCTAACAATTGTTGAAAGACCTACAGAATAAGACTTGAGGTTAAGCTTCTAGGCAGAATGGCTAAAACCGTGCCATGGAATTGTCTTAATGACAAAATTACCATGAACAGTGGTCGCCCACAGAATAACATATAAAACTGCTGCTGCTAATGCTTTTGCCCACCAGTCCAATTTCTGCACAAGAAAATTGACATTGAAACACCTGGGAAGTCACCACCACTTGCACCGTTGCTACCACAAGCACCACCACCACCAAAGAATGTCTCCAGCTGGGTTTCTTCTAAGATAGAGTTTAACATGCAGAATTTGTACCACAGAGGAGAAAGAAGTAAGACTGAGCAAAGATGGAAGTTGAGCTGTGATGTAGGCCCAAAGTAGACCTCAGCTGACATCACAGCAATCTTGGGAGCTAAAGTTTGCTCCTAGTTGGGTCAAAGTGGCAAGAATTTTATATTCTCATATTGAACAGTCATTAGATATGAGCTACACTAGGAAGGGACATGACCTTGGGAAAGGTGGCTCGCTACAGCTGGGGCAACCCTTGAAAAAACAGATAACTGGAGGTTGTTTGCCAACAGCATCCTCAGCATTTAGGAGGAAGCATATACAGTCCACTTCTTGCATTGCTTGGATTCACTACATATATATTTTTGCAGCAATTCCTCTAAGGTTGTCACAGAATTCTATATCTGGAAGAACCTAAAAGAGTACAGTTAGTAGGATGAAATACACCTGCCACTACTGCAGCTGATCTTGGGACCTCAAGTGATCTCATTGTCTCTTTCCTTTACTATCCACTGTAGATCCCTCTTATCTTCAACTAGCATCTCTGCTGGTCTACATGCCTTATCTGCTACCATTACCCAGACCCTCATCCCTGAGAAGTCTGCGACCCTGGTCACCATGCTTTTTGCAGATTGAGGTTTCTGCACTTTCCCATTCACCATAAAATTCAACAAGGGAGTACCAAGAGGTACCCAAATATATTTTTCTCTGTCCTTATTGTGTCACATCAGCCCTGCCTCCTTGTGTTGATCAGGATTAGTTATCCCTGCCATGATGATGGTTACTCTTTTGCTGCTTGTCCCTTGGCACAAGGAGCCTGAAGTACCCAGGTCATAGCTTATAATTCACTGAAATCTTATTTAAACCCTGTTCCCTGCTTGGCAACCAGGATCTCTCAACTCTGCAGAGTCCAGAGTTGTGGCTCATTGGTTGTGATAGTAAGCACTTCCACTTCTTGGTTTCCATTCCCATGTAATATTCCTATTAAAGATGTATCACCATATAAAGGTTAATGACTCAAAATCATATTCATTGTTGAAGTAGTCAACAATATGTGTAGCAAATTAAAAATATTTTTAAAGTGTTAAAATTATTTAGTTCAACCTTCATTTGTTTTGATAAAGAAAATTAATTTGAATACTTTTTTTCCCCAAGGAAGCTATGTGTGCAAGGTTTTGTTTTCCTTGTTGTTTACTGTTTTTATCCTTATGTTTTCTCTCATAAGGATACATTGTGATAAGAAGGAATTGTTTACTCTTTCCCATGGAAAATTTGGGCTAAGAGAGGATCGCACTAGTCTCTTTTTCTCACTCTATACATCTTCCTGCTAGGGACAGGAAGATTCAATAAAGGAAAAAGTTATGTTCCCATGAGACTCGTAGTCTTCTCATCAGCATACACATGACTTTATCCAATTGAAAGGGAAATGCCATGAGACCAAATGGTTAATACAAAAGGGGACATGTCAGGATGTTGAAACTCTGGCTATTCATTCACCATGCCACCATTTCACTCCCTTGAGAAGAAAATCCATCTCTCCTCCTAATGGCATACCCATCAGTGAAGTGGCATGGCTTCTTTATGGAGCCTTGCTCCACTGACACATTGCAAAGGATTCTAAAAGGTAAATGAGAGATGGAGGATTAGTATTAGATACAGGTTACCTTTTTTTTTTTTCTGTGTTTCTAAAGTTGTCACTTTAGACCCACTTTGCTGGGTCACTTAACTAGGCAAGCTAATTCAAACAGGAGGGTCTCTGAGTTGTCTCTCTTTTTCCCTTGTGCTGACAGAATAAATAATATTTAGGACTGAGAAAATAGTTCATGTTTTTAAAGAACCTGTTAGTAAGGAACTAAGACCTACATGCATTATTTAATTACATCTTACAGGGTTCCTGATGAGGTAAATGTTATTATTCCCATGTTCTAACAAGGAAACTTAGGTCACAGAGTGATTGCATGTTTGAAAAAGAATTTTATCCTTTTTTTTTTACACTATTCTAGAATAAGGAGCTATCTACATTGAGCATAATTTTTTTTCCATAGAAATAGACACAAAGACATGTCTCCACTGAAAATTATGTGAATATGTAATGTACACATTGAGATGTTATGCTGAATGTACACATATGCACTTTCTGTGTAAAATACAGATACACGATGTTCTTCATAATCTAGCTTCAACATACATATCTTCTTTCATTTGCCAAAACTCTTCCCACTACCCCTATGCCTTGTGACTTGGATCCTTTTATAACTTTGTCTGGAATATCATTGCAAGGTCTTAGCTCAAAAGTCCACTGTCTGCTGCAACTTCTCTGATGGTCAGCCCCCCACCCCCCATCTAAGTTTCCTCTTGTGCTCTATTTGCATTTTTATTTTGCTCCTCCTTTAATACTTACTACACTATAACTTTCATTAGAAGTAATTATGTACATTCCTAGTGTCTCCAGTAATCTATATGGCCCTTAAAGGGTGAGTTAGACTTGACTCATTTTTCCTAGAGCCTAGCATAGTAGGCTCATTGTAGGCACTATGAGTGCTTGTTCAACTAATCTGCAAACGTTTCCAAAACTTTTCTGTAAGTGGGTTAGATGTTTATATATGTAGATCATGCTATTTTGTAATTCATTCAAGTGGGCAAGTTGAGCTGATCTGTTCATACTATTCTAATCCACTGGAGATGAAGTCCACTGAAGAAGAGAGTCTTCAGTGGGTCAAATCTATCCCTTATGTCATTTCTGGTATTAATGATACTGCTAAAGGAACATTATCAAAGTTCTGAGATAAAATTCACTAGGTGATATTTTACTCTTTAAAAAAAAAAAAAAAAAGAACAATTGCTCCTTCTGGTGTTTAGGGGAAAGGCAGTATAGCATGGTGTTTAAAAGCATGAAGTCTACAGCCAGATTCCCTGCATCTGAATCCTGCCTCTACTGTTTGCTGCCCATATGGCCCTGGGATACTGACTTACCTGTGCCTTATTTTTTCCATTTATAAAATAGGAATATTAAAAATACCAATGCAATTGAATTAATATAAGGACTGAGTGACTTAATGTAGGCAAATCACATAACATTTCTCTGCATGTGGTCAAACTTCAAGTGTTTATTATTGTTATTCACCATACTTTCTAAGTTTTCCTCCCTTGAATATTGAATTCTTTTAAAACAGCAGCCAACCATAAAACATCCTTCCAGTCTCAAAAACTCTCAAAACAGAATGGAAGAATAAAACCAATTTTTAAAAATGGTTTAGTTGTTGAAACACAAACTCTTTCAAATAAAGTGTCAAGTTTCTTAATAAAATTACATTAAGTCTTCAAATGTAAGAGGCCTAGGGAAATGTGAGTAAAAGTGACATCTTCTGCTTAATAATGATTTTTATACTCTGATGTAATTAACTTTTGTCTGCTATTTGAATTATATTTTAGACTTTATAGGATCCAGCTCACACCAAACAAAATCCCTTCTATGTGCATGCACTTGAGTGCATACTACTACACTGGTTTTATAATCTGTAATTACCATAAAACCAAAGTGAAATGTCAGATCAGGTTAAAATGAATATTTTCTCCTTTAATAAACTACAAAGGCAATCCCAGTTAGGATATTTAAATTTCCCTAAATAATATAATTGGCAGTTTCATTGTCTCATAATTTGCCATTTTTAAGCCAAAGTTCTGAATTTATTGTGCAATTATTTTACTTCTCCTACCTATAAAAGGCTACAGTTTCTAGGGCGAGCCAGTTGCCTTATAGAATTGACTAGCAATCATGCCTGGCATTTTTTTTTTTAGCAGAATTGAATATGTATCGTCCAATTGAAGTGATTAGGGAAGGTGGGCAAGCTGAATGTAATTATCAAAGTTGGCCTGTGCCCAGCATCCTGTAGATGGCAGCCAGATGCTCTTATAAATGATGGGGTTTCTAGGTCTGTTTCTAAAGGGATTGCATGCCACTGGCCTTGCCAAGTTATAAAGTTATTTTCTCTTTTTCACTGTTCAAACTTGTAAAGATTACTCAGGCTTTTTGAAATGAAATTAGAGCATCTAGCGGTAGGTCATATCAAGGATGTTAGAGCAATCTGACAGTGACATCTGTCACTCCATTTATGCCAGATTTGATTTGAGGGATTTGGCTGGTGAAGTGTCCAGTGATTCCCTCACTGTTCTATATTTGTCATCCTGCCATAAGGATTGGCTACATCTTTAGGATGTCAACCAAGTCAAAGAGGGGAATACTCCCAGGTAGAAGAGGACCACAATGCAGTCCAAGCCACAGAGTTACTTGAACACTCCAGCTAGGATCTGAAAACAGATCCACAAGTTTCATATGGAGATGCCAATTTCAGTTTTACTTTTTGTTTGTAAAACATTACAGACATTTTTTAATGTAGTAAAATTGTTCAGTTAAATATAAATAAATTTAGGGAATCTCTTTATTCCTTAGTTCTTTAATTTACTGTCTTCTGGGAAAACATTCATTTGGTCATTTATCCAACAAAAATTTAGTAAATATTCCATGCGAAGAGAATAGTACTTGGAAAAGCCTGGGGATGAGAGATAACATGGCAGTTCCAAGAGGGAAAAGACATTATTATGGCCAGACCAGTTTGGGACTAAGAACAAAAAGAAGGAATTTAAGATTTTTAAATAAGAAATAGATGATGAAACTGCATTTTCTGGCAGATTATTTTGGCTATACAATGTAGAAAGCATATTGGAGAGGAGGGGCAAGAGAAACTGTAAGGAGAACCACTAGGAGGTAATTGTAGAAATATGGACAAGAGATGATGCCCTGACACAAGATAGTGAAAATGAGAAGTGGACGAACTTTAGAGAATTTAAGAGGGAGAAGAATAGGATTTGGGAGGTAGCAGATAGGAGCAATGGCAAGGTTGGGAAGAAGACACACGAAATGCTTAGGTTTCTGATATAGGTAACTGGGTGAAAGGTGGTCCTATTTATTGAAACTAGAATACCAGATGGAAGATCAGGAGGAGATGATGAGTTTGATTCAGACATGCTGAGTTCAAGGAAAATGTGGGATATGAAATAGAAATATCCAGTAGGCAGTTGTAAATATAAGTAGGTGGATAGGAAGGAAGACAACAGAGGTCTTTGCTTGAGCCTAAGATATGCTCCCAGATACTATTTTCCATAAGGGAATTAAAAACTTCCTAGGAAAGTAATCAATTCAGGAAAGAAAGTGCTAAATTTGGATAATGGACCAATGAGGCAAATATTGTAGGAAAAGAGTATCTCTGTACATAATATGTTGTCTATTTTCAGTACATTTCTTCAGCTGAGCTCTCATAGGTTTACATTAAAATTTTTGCATTAAAAGTATAATAGATATTTTAAAGGGGTGGCCTTAATCAAAGCCCCATGGTGCCTTGAGATCAGGGCATCAGCAGCATTGGTGCCAGTTAAGTAGTCTCTGCTGACAAATGGCAGGCTTCATGAGACATAGCTGAAGGCCCTGAAACATCAGGCATTCGCGGGTCTTGCCCTGTGTATCCAAAGACATCAGCAGTAGAAGGTTGGCTTTAAAGAGAGAATCAGGGGCAGCAGAATGTTGGCAGATGTGGGTGGCATTGACTGAAACTATCAGCAGGAAAATAACAGGCACTACTGAGTCACCAAAAGAACTAGTTGGTGGAGAACATGTGAAATCAGACATAAAAAATCAATTTAAGGAGAAAGTTGGTATGCCCTTGGAAGTGGTGGTGACAGAGCCAGAGATGTTCTCTTCTGCAACTTTTTTTGTGACATTATTTTTAACATTAGTCTGGGACAACCTAGGGGGAAAAAAGTCTACCTGTTGTATTGTATATTTGTCGTATACATTGAGAAGTCATGTTTTAACTTTTTTTAATGTAAATTTGATATTATTAAAAACCTAAAGCCAACTACTTTTTAAACAATATGGATTCTAGTTCATTAATCCCCAGTCAGTGGTTTAAAATGGAAAAAGTTTCTCTGCCTCTCTTTAGAATCAAATGATATGAATTTTCTTTATTATAGTTATGTGATTATTTTTATATCAGATTTAATACTCAACTGAAACTAATCTCCCTACCATGAGTGAAAAGTAGAAGATGTGTGTCCCTAATTTAGATTTTAATTTTATCTAATCATTAATTCATTTTTGCATACAAGCTATGTTCTGTCAAATTAATTAATTAGGGCAATTTCTTATGGTCGCACATGCCAAACATTATAAGGGATTAAGAAAGGGCTATCAAATTGGCTGGGCGCAGTGGCTCATGCTTGTAATCCCAGCACTTTGGGAGGCCCAGGCGGGAGGATCACGAGGTCAGAAGATCAAGACCGTCCTGGCCAACATGGTGAAACCCCGTCTCTACTAAAAATACAGAAAAATTAGCCAGGCATGGCAGCACGCACCTGTAGTCCCAGATACTCAGGAGGCTGAGGCAGGAGAATTGCTTAAATCCGGGAGGTGGAGGCTGCAGTGTGCCAAGATTGTGCCACTGCACTCCAGCCTGGCGACAGAGTGAGACTCCGTCTAAAAAAATAAAAAACAAAGGAAGTGCTATCAAATTAAGTTTTTAATTTGATCTAATTTGATAAGAAGCAATATCTGGCGATAAAATTGCAAAGAGAGATAAGCTCCTAATTTTGGATTAAAACACTCAGAAACTCCAAACTACATAGTGTTATCATAATACTTTATAGCCAGGCTTTGTATCTAGGCTCTGTTATTTTGCAAGCAACTTACTTTAACCTCTTTCAGCTTTAGCTTTCTCTTGGGTAAAATGAATAGCATATATATAATACTTGGAAAATATTAAATTTATGTGTTCTTATTTCTCTGTGTAAATCGTGTTCCCTTGATGCTACCCCCAGAATGAGGAGGATATGACATTAGGAGAAGTCACTGACATACAGTAAAGGCGAAAAAAAAAAAAAGGAAAAAGAAAAACAAGAAAACTTTTCTGGACCTAGAGGAGGAGGAGGAAAGGGAACAGGGAGTGAAAACAGTGGTCAGGCAGTGACCTAAATTCCAACCCCGCCCCCCAAACCTCACGATTCAAACCTAAAGCATGCACCGGAGAGCAAGGATTAGGTTTTAAAAGGAGAATCAGTCAAAGGGGATATGGGGAAACCTTTAACCCAACTTCTTTGTTCAGACACTGGAAGGAAATTACCTCAGAGGAAAACAAAACGGGGCTGTCACATCAGAATAAAAATGGTGGTTAGCAGATGAGATGCCCGAAATGAATGTGCTGAGTGGGAATTTCAGCCCAGCCACAGCCCAACTGTGATTGACAACACAGTTAGAGGCAAGGTTGGGCTGAGGCAACAGAGATGGCCAAACAACATGGGAGCTTCACCAATATTTCACAGCTGTGGACTTCAACATAAGAGCCTGCGTTACCTTAAAGCACAGTATAAGTGTGAGGATCCATCTTCATCACAAGAAGGCACATAAAACTTAACTTCCTTATTTAGAGTCCATCTGGAAAAGGAAGAGATAGAAGAAAATAGGAAAGATGAAGTATTTACACCTTCCACAAAAAGGGATGGTAATATGGTGGGAAACACTAACTTGCTTTAAGATTTTTTTAACAGATAAAATTGTAGCTATTTACTGCATACAACATGATATTTTGAATAAGCCAGGCACAGTAAGACAAATACCGTATGATCTCACTCAGATGTGGCATCTAAGAAAGTTGATCTCATAAAAGTAGAGAGTAGAATGGTGGTTACCAGAGGCTGAGGTGGTTGGGGAGCATGGGGGTTGGGCAAAGGATACAAAATTTCAGTTAAATAGGAGAAATAAGTTCAAGAGATATATTGTGCAAAGTGGTGACTACAGTTAATAATATATTGTATTCTTGCAACGTGCTAAGAGAGTGATGTAAAGTATTCTCATCACAAAAATCGTAACTATGTGAGGCAATTTATTTTATTTGGAAAGTTGTCCTCATTCCTCCCACCCTGCACCCCTACTACAGATTGAAATAAAATATGGTACACTGTCTCTCTCTCTCTCTCTCTATATATATATATATACACACACACACACATATATAGTTTTATCTATATTTTAATTAAATGTATACACACAACTATATATGTAATATATGTGTATGTCTATATATAGTATATATATACTATATATAGTATATACACACATATATCTACTATATATGTCATATATATGATATATCTACTATATATCATATCTACTTTAATATATAGTATATATAAAATATATATAAGATATGGTATATCTACTATATATCTACATATATAGTAGATATATATACTATATATCTACATATATAGTAGATATATATACTATATATCTACATATATAGTAGATATATATACTATATATCTACATATATATGTAGATATATATACTATATATCTACTACATATATCTACATATATAGTAGATGTGTCTACTATATATCACATATATAGTAGATATATATGTGATATATAGTAGATATATGTGTGTATACACGATATGATTATACACACTCTGAGTTAAATGTATAAATTTTCAGCCATATTTACAAAATTTTTTAAAAGAAGCACAGAGCCCAGCCAGTGTTTCAAATGCGTTAACTGCCTAATAAAAGCATTTTCATTCACATTTAACATGCTTTGTTGAGTTGTTGAGTTACTGAGTGTTAATATGGCAGGCTTTCTGCTAGGCACTAGATACCACCATAGGTGGTCAAGGCACATTGATAGGGTCCCTGATTCCAGTGGGTTGTAAGGTTATAACAGGGATATTTAAACTAACTTGACTCTCAGAGTGAATTAACGCCTCGGGCTTCATAGGCAAGCCTTAATATATCAGTGGAGAGAAAAAAAAAAACACTATACAAAAAGAAGGAAAGAAGAGAGGGGCAAGAGTGGATGTAGTAACACTTCACCAACAATTATCCTGACTATTTCCAGGATATTTTGTATCTTACACAGCCAATGCTCATGCCTGACCTAATTCTAAAAGGAAAGTTAATGGGGACGACCATGAATGGCAACAGCATGGCTCACTGAGTTTTCAAGAGCTGATTCAGTCTGCCCCAAGGAGGTTCATCTTGCTGGTTAAATCATATCTTTTGAGAATCGGGAAAATTCAAGATGTTTGATGCTTGTAATACCGGTTACTAAAAGCTGGTCCTAGTTTTTAATCTATATTTTAATTAAATATAATTTTTATGACAAAACGTTTGTAATTTATAGCAGTTTTCTCACTCAATTATTTGAGTATAACAGGAGAGAGGATGCTATTTTTCTATGCTGCAACAATACTCATTTATAGGGGCTGTTAATGGTTTGGGGTATTTCACATACCTAACTGCAAGCCATATAATATTATAATGAGGTACTAAGGACCATTATTAATTTAATAATTCAAAGTTTAAATGCTGCAAAAAGAGCAACATTGAACAATTATTCCAGTTCCACAAATTATCTGTAGTAAAATTTCATTGAATTAATTTAAATTTTCTGAAGGAATTGCTGAGACTTGATGCAGCAGGTTATGGGGAGAGTGGGGTGGAAATTTTCATAGTTTGAGCCAAGGAATTGCTCAAGAGAGAACCCACAAGAAAATGTATGTTCTTATTCTAACACAGGACTTTGCATAGGTAGAGATGTTTCCTTAATTTGGATGCAGTCCAGAGCCTTGAAAAGCATTATTTATCAGTTGAGTCATTATGGGCTTCAGCTAAGAGGCTCATAGTTCATTACAGGAAGCCTTGGGAAAATGATTTCATGGCCAAGTTCCATATAAATTACAGCACAGGCTAACAGTAATATTCAGTAATAGTAGTCACCTAAACATTGTTAAGAATTTCTAATCCTAGGAAACAACATGTCATTGCTATGCCAGGTTTTCTTATGTAAACATGTTCATCCTCTGCATGAAATTGCTCTTCCTTCTGCCTGAAATGCCTTCCCCTCATTCTGCCCATGAAAAGCTTCTATTTTTCCTCCCATTTCATCTCATGACTTTCCTCTAAAATGTGCTCCTCAGGCCTTTCCTTTTTCTATTTTCCAACTGAACATTCTAACAAACTCCATTAAAGTACTTTTACTGCTGTATTCCAATATTTGATGGCATGTTTGTTCTAGACTGTGAACAACTTGAAGGTAGAGATCATGTTTTTGATTTTCATCATTCTAGTACCCACTGGAGTGGCACATAAGGAGAGCTCAATTCTATTTGTTGAATTTACTTTTGTTAATTAATTTTTATTTTTATTTGAAGTTCCAGGGTACATGGGCAGGATGTGCAAGTTTGTTACACAGGTAAACGTGTGTCATGGTGGTTTTTGGTACCTATCAACACATCACCTAGGTATTGAGCCAGCATACATTGACTATTTTTCCCAATGCTCTCCCTCCCCTGACTCCACTCCCTGACAGGCCCCAGTGTGCGTTGTTCCCCTCCCTGTGTCCATGTGTTCTCATTGTTCAGCTCACTTATAAGTGAGAACGTATGGTGTTTGGTTTTGTTTTCTGTTCCTGGTAGATTGCTGAGGATAATGGCTTCCAGCTCCATCCATGTCCCAGCGAAGGACATTGTCTCATTTGAATTTACTTTTAAGATATTGAGTGGGTCAAACCAGGTCACTAGGTATCAGTTATAATGAGAGATTTTTATTTGGGTTTTTCCTCCCGCATCTCCATTCTGGTTAATTGTATAACCACCACATCCTTCACTCAGAAGGCTCCACACAGTGGCAACATTCCAGTGGGTGCTAATAATGGACAGGCACTAATGAGGAGGACAAGAAGGAGAAGAGGACCTCGCAGATCATAAAAAGACGATCACATGCAAAGGGAGGGTGGAGCACGGAGCAGGAAATGGCAGATCTGACATTTTGTTAAAGGAAGTTAGACTCGATTGTGGGCACTGAGACTTGAAGAGTTGAATGGATTTTAATTCGCTTGAAAAATAAAACAGTAGAGATTACAGAGGGAGAGCTTGTTAAGCAGTAAAGATGATGTTTACTTTTTAAAAAGTGTTCATCTTGAATAAATTACACAAAGAGCTAAACCAGAGGTCATGTGCTATTGATCAGTGGGCCTTACCCAGCTCCAAATGTGTATCATTTTGCTCATCCATTGTTTGAAATAGGGCAAATTTAAAATTCAAAAGATTTCACATAAAAATCTAAGTTTCTGAAACTTCTTTAAAAATGTGGAAATCTGGTGAAGCTTTGTCCACATGGTGACACCCTTGAGGAGAAAGCAGAGAAAGGCAGTGAAGATTGTAGGAACTGGAGTCAAACTGCTTCTGTCTAAAGCCAGCTCTACCTCCATGCACAGAATACTTCCTAAAATGAGACATGCCCATTCACATCAAAATAATAGCAAATGCTACTTTTAGTGATAGCATTATAGTTTTTAAGCATTTAAAAATTATTTTAAAATATTGCTTTTTCCATTTTATTTCTTCTTTTTAAAATGTCTTTTGGATGTTTTATAAGATGAATTAGTTAGAACATATTGTACATATACACATAGATATATGATCTCCACACAATAAACATATCTTTAAGTCTCCATTTTATCAGTTAAAAAGTATGCATGTTTCAAGATCTTTTCAAAGACATTTTATTTACATTAAATTTAAAATTACATGGGTTTTATGGGTAAATATCCTTTAACAAAGACCTGGAAGTTTCTGTAACCTCTTGTAAAACTAACTTGTTTGTTTTATGAATTCTTCAAGATAATGCAATTCATACTAAAGAAAGTTGAAGAGTACTAAATGTATACTTCAGTGCCTATATCAACCAGCAAATATAAATTCTAATCCTCTTGTCTCCTTCCCTCAATTTGGTTTCAGGGACCTGTCTGTTCAACCACAATAGTCCAAAACTTTGAACATTCTCTTTCCTTAACAAATTATTTAAAATGCAGCCACTAAAAAGACAGTTCTCTCTGGAAGCAAAGGATTGAATTACCTCACATGATCTCTTCTTGCCTATAATTGAAAAACCCCTTTGAACAAGTAGAATCATGGAATTTATGCTTGATTTATTTCTAGTCTTGATTGTTAATCATCACCTCTAACCACACATCGAAAACTGAAAGGGAATGGGCATGAATCAAGTCTTTCAACACCTTAGAGAGAGGTTTCATATAAATACAAGGTACTATTCATAGATACCACACCTTAAATGACTTTCTTCTTTCAATAGAAAAGAAAACGAAATAAAGCCCAACCCCAAAAGCCTGCTGATCAGCTCGACTACCAGGGGACACTGATTATAGACTACAGGACTTTAACCTAGCTATTTGGCACCATTAGAATGTTTGATCTTTCAGTTACTAGAGTTTAAATGAGATTTAACACCGAATTAAACTTGTGTCTATTTAAAGTACAATTTTTGAGCCTCTTAACTTATTGTAAATACAATAGCATTATGCCAAACCCTCAAAGTATAATAACCTTCTTCCCCACCCTGGTATCTTCTGAGAAGTTCAGCAGAAGACTGTACCCACTTACTAAGTTTGAATCTTTTGTACTCCAGTTCTTTTCTGACCTCCAGATAGGTTTTCAACACAACCTTGGTCACCCGAGCATTTCTTTTAATAGAATACACCCTTCAGGATAGCAAAGTTAAATGGGCACATGGTGAAGCCTGGCTGTCCATGTTCACTACCAGCTCTGTCACTGAGTAGCTGTCCAAACTTGGCCAAGTTCCTTAATCTCTTTGTGGTTTTCTTCACTCCTTTGTAAAAAGAGAAGGATAATGTTACCTACCTCCTAGTACTGTGAGAATTAATCAGGCGATCTTTATTAAAGGTCTGAGTGCATATGTCCTTGCAATGCTACCCCTCCACTGGAATGCAAGCATTTGCAGGCTCAAACCCATGTCCAGCACAGTGTATGTTCACTGAATATTTGTTAAATGAAGATCTTTTATTTTTACAAGGTCTTTATAGATTCAGAAATACATATATTTATGGCATTTATTATATGCCAAACACTGTTCTAAGTACTGTACAAATATTCACTCATTTAATCCTAAAAACATCCCTATAAGGAAGGCAATAATATCATCCTATTTTCCAGAGGAAGAAACTGAAACACAAATAATTCAGTCAATTTGCCTGAGGTCACCTGCTCTTAAAGAAAATTCACACCCAGACAGTCCTGCTCTTGAGTCCATGGTGCACTATACAGACTTCTCAAACCTCAGTGTACATAGGAATCTCCTGGAGAGCTTGTTAAATATGTATTTTAAAGTCTAGCCTTTGATATTTGAAAACAGGAAGTTGACGTTGGGGTCCAGTAATCACTATTTCTGCCAGGACCTAGGGGATTCTGGTGCAAGTTACCCTTAACCTACACTTTGAAAAAACACTAGACTAAGATAATGGTAAAACATTAGTCTGATCACTACACAAAATGAATGGCATGGATGAGAATAAGCTAGACTTTAGACCAACATGATACTTAATAACATTGAGCCAAAGATAATACTTTTATTCCATTTTGGAGTTATGTCTGGGCTGTGACATACCTCTGTATGAAATGACAGATAACAGAAAATATATCAGAGCCAAATGATGGAGTGGCAGTAAAATACCAATACTGAAATGCTCAACCAAGAGGCAGTGTAACCTGTACATGTGCAGACAAGAAACCAACATAGCTTTGATGAGAGTTATTCGAAGTACTGCCATTTCTTCATGGTAAAGAAATCAAGCCTTTCATTTAGTCATATTTAGAAACCAGCTGAAATTCTCTGTGTCCATTCTAGACATTTAAATGAAAAAATGTGGAAATGCTTGTATAGCAAGGAGGGCCACACAATCAGGCTTGATTTCTGACAGGAAGAAAAACTACATGGTATGGCTGACTTCAAAATGCTCATTTTTATGCATTTAATGTTCTAAAACTGAGATGTGTTTTACAATCAGTGTATTCATTAAATGGGGTAGTATTTTTCCCTTTCCATTCAAAATAGTACCTTAGGATTGAAAAGTACATAATAATTTACTTTTGAATTTACTTTTTAGGTGACACAGATTACAAAAAAAATTATAAAGCATAATTTTAAGTCGTAATAAAAAGAAAATTGTTTGCAACTACTATTTGTTTTTGAAAAGCTAAGCAAGTCTGTCATGATTTTTTTAACACATAAATCAAGATTTAAATATCAAAATATAGAGTAACAAAGTAAAGATGAGTTAATTCACCACAATTTAAATTTTTCTAGGGGTGGCCATTTGCAAACTACAAATAATCTTTGTTTATATGATCTCTCTCCAGCTCCCCTTACCTCTGAGTCTTCAAAGTCCATTTTAACACTCCATATGCCTTTTTACTCATGGTGGGGAGGTTTGTTTCAGTTGAGTATTATCTCTGACATAAAAAATAATCACATAACTATAATAAAGAAAAATCATATTACTTGATTCTAAAGAGAAGCAGAGAAGCTGTTTTTCCATTTAAAACCACTGACTGGGGATTAATGAACTAGAATCCATATTGTTTAAAAAGTAATTGACTTTAGGTTTTTAAAATAGAAACATATCAAATTTACCTTTAAAAAGAAAGTTAAAACATGACTTCTCAATATATGTACCAAATATGCAACAAGTAGAGAGTTCCCCCTAAGTTGCCCCAGACTAGTGTTAAAAATGATGTCACAAAAACAGCTACAGAAGAGAACATCTCTGGCTCTGTCGCCACCACTTCCAAGGACATACCAACTTTCTCCTTAAATTGATTTTGTATGTCCAGGTTTCACATATTCACCAACCGGTTCTCTTGGTGTCTCTATAGTACGTTATTTTCCTGCTGATAGTTCCAGTCAAGGCTACCCATGTCTGCCAAGGCTCTATTGTCCCTAATTATTTCTTTAAAGCCAACCTTCTGCTGCTGATATCTACGAATATGTGGACCAAGATCCACAAATACCTGATGTTTCAGGGCCTTCAGCTATGTGTCAAGAAGCCTGCCATTTGTCAGCACAGCCTACTCATAGCTTAGCTTTCACTTATAAATGAGAGCATAAAGTACTTGGTTTTCCATTCCTGAGTTATTTCATTTAGAATAACGGCCTTCAGCTTCATCCAAGTCGCTGCAAAGGACATTGTTTTGTTCCTTTTTATGGCTGAGTAGTATTCCATGGTATATATATACCACATTTTCTTTATCCACTCGTTGATCAATGGGCACTTAGGTTGATTCCATATCTTTGCAATTGTGAATTGTGCTGCAATAAGCACACATGTGCATGCATCTTTTTCATATAATGACTCCTGTTCCTTTGAGAAGATACTTAATAGTGGGATTGATATACCAAATGGTAGATCTACTTTTAATTCTTTAAGAAATCCCCATACTGTTTTCCATAGAGGTTGTACTAATTTACATTCCCACCAGCAGTGTATGAGTGTTCCTTTTCACCACATCCACGCCAACATCTACTGTTTTTTGACTTTTTAATAATGGTCATCCCTGCAGGAGTAAGGTGGTATTTCACTGTGGTTTCAGTTTGCATTTCCCTGATGATTAGTGATGTTGAGCATTTTTGGCCATTTGTATCTCTTTTGAGAAATGTCTATTCATATCATTTGCCTCCTTTTTGATGGGATTAATAATTTTGTTACTGATGTATAACTCTAGGTAACAACAGCTAACCCAAAAGAACTAATTTTATTACCAAAAAAATGACTTTTATCTTGGGCAAGCATAATCTTGATGAAGATGAAAAAGCGTTATTAAAATGAACCAGGGTAAAAAAAAAAAAAAAAAAGAAACAATAAAAATGATTTGTTCCTTTTATACCGGGGTTCTTTCTTAAAACAAAGTAAAGCGAAGAAGAACATGGTGTCATAATGCATTTTGAAAATGTAGTAAAGTTTTCAAGTGGGCTAAAGCCTCTAAAGAGAATATCATATATCAAAGGATAAGCAAATAATCAGAGCCCAGTAGAATAAAACTGATTTAGCACAGGTTTTTAAAAAATTCACGCATCATCTTCAAAAGTAGGTTACTTACAGCTCTGGGATTTAACAAAACTATTTACCCTTCTTTTCTAATTAATTTTCAAAGCTCTCTTCACTAAATTTTCTTACCCTTTTATCTCTTATCATGATGCCTCTCATTCATTAACACCGTGTTGCATTCTATCTACTCCTGTTGAGAGGGAACAAAAGGAGAATCTTCGTGCTGAAACACTGGAGAAGCAAGAAGAGAGGAAGCATTTCTTCCTGCAGGACAGGACTGAGACAGTTGGAAATATTTCATATTGTTTTGGGTTCCTCAGATCCTTCCCAATGATTCTCTGGTCAATTCATACAAGGTAGTTGGATGTGATCCCTCCCCTCTGATAGCAAAAAAACTGAGTCAGAATGGCAAGTATGGACCAAGTACATGGGCTCTGAGCCAGTGATGGCAATGCCAGGTTATCTTGGCTATATGAAGTTACCCCTGCCTTTCTTTCACCATGAAAGAAAAGTTCTTTTTAAGTTCTTTTTATAACTAGTATGAGCAGCATTCACTTACTTATAAATTCAACAGATATTTATTGATTCCCATACAAGGAACCACTCTAAAACTATTCTCCTAAAATTTCATTTCTAATACCACATTTGTGCTTTTCTTATAACCACTAGCTATAAGTAGTACATGGGGCCACAAAAGGTGCCTACAGTAATTCATTCTGTTAGAAATAAAGTTACCATGTGAATTGATCCATAAAATCAATATAAAACAGACTCCAAAAACCATGAGGCTTCATCTTAACCAGAGTGAAAATGTTTATATCTTTAAAGAAGGGATTTGTTTTTTTAGAAGAGTGGCTTTAGCCATGAAAACATGGAAAAAGATTTCCAGAGATAATGGTTGTCAGTGCCCCTCTAAGCTCTATGGCAATAGGTAGTATGGGCACCTGTCAAATCAACTACCCCTATAATGGAGACCCATCAGTCTGGCTGAGATCTATGGCATAAACATTTAATTCATATAGACAAGCAATCTCTTTTTTGATTCCTTGTTCAACTGGAACCTTGATCATTTGATTTTCTTAGTAGTTTGCCTACAGGGAAAAAGTAGATGGGTCAAATTAATGCTAGTATTAGGTTCACTTGGCAATTGTGTTTTTCATTGTGAATTAGTTACTTTTCTGGTCTTTTTGTCAGTTATTTGGTTGTATAATTAGCATAAGTGAGTGTCCTCAAACATAACCAATTCCAGAACACTGGCAAATTCAAATTCTGCCTCTTAGGCTAATAACCAGTCTCTGGTCTCAATGAGTTCAACAAGGCAAATATTACTTGGTAAGATATAGTAGTAGTCATTTCTTAGTTCCATCACTTACCTTACTTTTTAAACATTGATATCAAATATAAAAAGAGTTGTGTTAAAGTGATACGTGTTTCTTTTCCTGATCTGGCTAATGGGATAGTGCGTACAATACCAGGTTAATTGATCAAACTCTGTCAGCAGGGGACGGGGATAAGTGACTTAAAGGAGCTGACCTACTAGGATCAGTCCCATATTTAAAATAATGTTTTAAAATTTTAAAAGGTTTTTATTTCTAGCTCAATGAAAATATTGAAATCTATTGCTATTTTTGTGTAAAAAGATTTGAGAGCAGATTTTAATAACTCAGAGGATAATTAGCATCTTGACAGAACAAAGAGGATAGATTTTTAATTATCAACATTTAATGTAAAGTATTTCAAACAAAATGATTTATATGTATATAAGTTAACTTTATGTACATCAGGGGGATGGAGGGTAAGTTAGCAAATGTTTTAAGTGCTAATCAGATATACATGCTTCAAGGAGGGTTTGTTAAGATCTGAAAAACTCAAATTAGATTTCAGAGGCAGCTTCTACAAAAGTTTCAACACTCCCATACCTAAGTCTTCCTAGAGCAGATTGTAATTGTACAAAAGATGTTAAAAAATAATTTTAATTGGTAAAATGGTGTCTAAGAGCTATGAATATGGCTAGAAATAGTCTACAAGCATCTCCACCCTTGCTTAAGCTATATAAATTCCTGGGATTAAGGGTTTTAATTTAGTGCTGGATACCATCACTTAAAGATACTATGGATCTCATTCAAACATCCTGGACCTGAATTCTGATTAAAAGGTTAACTGAATGCTGCTATGAGAATAGCATCATACCTGTCTTAAATGAGGATTTCATGCAAAATGCTTGGTTGTGCATGAAAACACAGAGAACTGGAACTTTTTTGGAGCGGAAAAAACAGCATAGTTAATGTTTTGCAATATGCTTGTTCATAAATATTTGCATTATGGCAGATTTGTTCTGACATTTGCCTTAATTTAACATTTCTCCTGGTTGTGAAAGTACAGAAGAGGAAACCTAGAGTCCTCTTCACCCCTAAGATTACGTTACGTCTGATATCTCAGTCGTGAATGGACGAATTGGCCTAGGTCAGTTCAGAACCACAGGGCCACAAATAACAATAAGCCCATTTTACAATTTTCATTTCAGAGTCCAATTCTGTTCTAATTAATCACTGAAGAGGCATGGATTAGGGAGAAAATGGGCATTATCATCATTTATTTTTGTTGTTAAGATACTGGAATTGAATAGAATGTTAGCCATCCATAAGCTCTTTCTCCTCTCTTTTTTCTTATTGCTCAGATTCTTTCCGGTGTCATTATTTTCAAGGAATGACAGCAAAATGTTAAAAGTACCCTGGCTTTGTGTTGCTAGGAAACTAATCCAAAAGAGTCCCTTGCTGGTGTTTCCATTTCAGGCCTTAGAACTTGTATCAGTTTTCCTCTCCCTCTCACATCCGAGTAGCAGCTTTATGAGGGGTATGCATATATCTGTGTTGGGGGTGGGTGGGTAAGGTTCGTTTTTCTTTCCAGGAGGCTCCATGTTCCCTTCATAGACAAGTCCCAAATCACCCATCACTGAAGCAGAAGCTGGTGCTGACTCACCTGTTATTCAATCCCCTTTCTTTAAATATGCCCAGGCTCAAAACTAAGTGCTATCTCGGGAAAATAAATCAATTACCTAGTATACCCATCCACTAATGTTGAGAAACAACAAGGAATTGAGCTTATTAGCTGAAGTCCCAGGGTATCACTCTGATTTTGGTGATTTTCCATGTTTGCTTATACTTCAGGGGAAATGCCAGTTCCTAAGGGCAAAAGGGCCCCGAAACAGCTTTCTAGGAAACTTGGCTATCTTTCAACTAGGAAGATTTACAAACTAAAATTCTCAATCCAGAACTATATTAAAGATACTGGAAAGAAGAGGAAACTGTTTTAGAGGCTACTGGGTAAAGGATGAAGAAAGCAAAGAGGAAAGATGGGGAAATGGAGGGAATAGGAAGAAGAGTAGAAAGTCTTGAGGAGGGCAGAACTTGAACCGTATCCCACGTCTTTCCCTCAGGGGCCTGAAAAGTGTCCCATTTGTTGGGCTCCTTTAGCCTGGAAGTATACACCCCTTCCACGAAAAGATTAGAGCTCTAATAAAACTCATTTCTTAACTTTAAGCTGCATATAAAAGTCATCCTATTTTTACATTTATCAGCACCTTGTCTGTGTTTTCCTGACATCATTCTCTCAGAGTGAGAGGAACATTCTCCATTTTAAAATTGATTAGTCCTCGTATTAGTTTTCTAGTGCTTCCTTAACAAAATGTCATAAAATAGGTGGCTTAAAGCAACGAAAATTTATTCCCTCACAGTTCTGGAGGCTAGAAGACTGAAATCAAGTTGTTGGTGGGACCATCCTCCCTCCAAAGCTTTTAGGGAAAGTTCCTTCCTTCCATCTTCCATCTTCTTGTAGCTCCAGGCATTCCTTGGCTTGTGGCAGCATAACCCCAATCTTTGTTTCCATCATCATTTAGCATTCTTCCTGTGTATGTTTCTTTTTGGGTCTCTTCTCCTCTTCTCATAGGCACACCAGTCACATCAGATTACAGTCCACCCTAATGACCTCATCTTACATTGATTACATCAGGCAAGGCTCTATTTCCAAATAGAGTCACGTCAAAAGTACTGACTTGAGCATATCTTTTTAGGGGACATAATTTAATGCATAACAGTTCTCCAGATATAGAAATGTAAAAAGAACAAAAAGAGGGAAGGGGGATATTTGCCTAACTACTTAATTTATCTAACATCAAATTGCCAACCTATGAAAAGAATTGTAATAAATACCACCTATGATAACTTTATGACTACCACCTTTAACTTATTTTGTTCCTTTTAAGGAATCAATACATCAGTTATTTCATTTGATTCTTACAATAAACCTATGAACTCTTTCACAAAAGAGGGACTCCAGTATAACCACATCTCTATTACTTTCCAATTAATGACTGTAGATTCCATCTACATTATTATCAGGAACCTCTCTTTTCAGGATTATGTCTCCTTTATAAATTGTCAAATGTCATGCAGTTGATGTAGTTGAGGGACGGGATCAATCCAACTTTTACATCAACTGGGAGAAAACTGCGTTCAGTCAAGGATTTTTTTTTCTTACTGCCACATGGTGTCACTCTTGAGAACCAGTCCGACATGCGAATCTCTCCCAGGATGTTGGGCATCACTGTAGATGAAGGGTCTCATTCTCTTAGATTGAGTTAGCCCAGAGGACCCCTCTATTGAGCTCCCAATTTTGCAGTTCTTTGCCCTCATTTTCAAGCCCTACACAGTCAGCCTCAGGTTACCAGCCAGACTCAGGAAGGCTGATGAGTCCAACCATGCCTCCACCCAGAACCCCACCTTCCTCTTCCATAGGAATTTTTTACTAAGGGCTTTCACGTACCCAGAGGTGTTTTAAAATGCATCTATACTTTTGTTTAGCACTCACAGGTCACTTTGTCTCTAAAGTTAAGGTTGCTTGGACTTGTCTTCTGCTGCAAATACAAGGAAAAGTTTGGAGTGTATGTCATAAGGGGGCCCAGAAATCCAGACTTGGAATGCCAAGACAAGGCCAAGTCCTCAACTGCACTCCTCCTTCTGGGCTGATGCTCACAGGGCAGAAGTCCTCCTTGTTTTCACTCTCAAAGCCACATCCCAGGGCTACCGAGAACACTGTCAGAATTGGTTCAGTGACCCTTCTCTTTTATTAACCTGAATTTCATTTCTGTTTCCTCAAGAGATCCCTCTCTGTCAGATCTCCCAGTTTTTCTATTTTAGATAATGGAGAACCACCTTCTTTTCTATCTTAGATAAAGCTATTTTCTGCAATTGTCAGGCACACAGGGTCTCATTGCAGGTCAATGTTGTAGGAGAAAGAATCAGTTGCCCTATTCCTTCTCTTCTCAGCACAACTGTCTTCAGAGACACAAGATGCCCTTCTCACCCAGGTCCTAAGAGGGTGAGTTTAGCTCCTCTCAGTAAATCCAAAATGGCTTCCTCATACCTTCCTTTAGTGGAAGAAAACTTAGGAAAATGTTAATATTTAGCAGGACCCTATGCTGTAGAAATAATAATGACTTATGCAGTGAACTCTCTGAAGCCAATTGGCCATTCACAACCGTTAGGTTTGGGAAATCAGAGACGGTGGAACTATGTATCTTCTCCCCAACCACCTCGGTACCAAGCAGCTGAAAGCAAGTCTTATATTCTATCTTGCCCCTTAGAGAAATATTTAGTTGCAGGTAGACACAAAAGAGACTCATACAACCTGTTCTGTAAGATTGGTGAGGTCCTGGTTCCTTTGTCCTTTCAGACAAAGATATTTCTGGCAAGACGTGGAGAGAAAGAGTCCCTTCAATGAAAAAATGCAAGACTGTTCTGACTGCTTTTTCAGGTAAACTTCCTGTTGGACCTAGTTGGCTTGTTAAGTGAAGGACAAAACCAGAAGGTGTTCTACATATAAGGCTCACTCTGAAGTTTCAGGCTGCTGGACTGGTTGCTTCATTACATGTACTTTGTTCAAACCTGTTGTCTTTTAGCCATTCATTGAACTGCACTTATTTTTACGATAAATACCATTTTTTAATGTCGGTATTAACAAAACCTCTAATGCATGTTTACACAGCACTTGTTGACTTGCTTCCCATAGCCACCTCTGTGTGAACTCATAATAAAGGTCCTTCAGATCCTGACTAAACACAGACAGCGTATCTATTCATAACTAGGGTACTTCAAATAAAAATGAACTTCCCTAGTGTGTGGATACAAGTTAACCTGCATACACTTCCTCACATGTTTTAAACTGAAGTAGTATAAAGAAAATTAAAGGTAGTGACAAATCTTACTCCTACATTACACCTTTTAGCATTATTTTTGTATTTTTTAGAAAACATTTTCCCATACATAATTACATTTAAACTCAACAAAAAATTAAGTGAGATAGAAATTATCATCTCCATTTTTCAGATGAGAAAACTGAGGTTTAAAAGATAAATAACTTCTCCTTCAGTTACTCTGCAAGCAAATAGCACAGCGGGTTCTGATCTTGTCTTTCAAATTTCAACTTATCAATTCTTTTATCAAATTTTGAAACTCAAAGTGAGCCCATGAACCAGAATCATCAGCATCATCTAAGAGACTGTCAGAAACATAGCATCCCAGATCCCATCCCGTAAATGCTGAATCAAGATCTTTATGAGTTGATTTCTCAGTACAGTTTGGGAAGTATTGTTCTAGAGCAAGAGGTACCACTTGTTTTTGTAAATAAAGTTTTATTAGAACACAACCATATCAATTTGTCTATGTATTGCTGTTTTCCCTTCAGCAGCTGAGGCACTGATTGCAACTAAAACTATATGATCTACAAATCATAAAATATTTAGTAGCAGGATCTTTACAAAAAAGTTCGTTGACCTTTGGTCTAGAGCAGTTTCTCTTACTATCTGTGTTGAAAGATCAGTTTTTTGTTTCTAATTTCCAATACATTGTCACTAATACATTCATTTAAATAAAATAAAAATGAATTATTGTAAAATAAATAAAAATGCTGTAAAAATATAAGCCGTATTTTGAAATATATATTAAAAGATATAAAACTACTCTGTCAAATTGCTTTTTAAAAGCTTGTAAATGATTACTTTCAATTTCTATACCTATTGAGGACCAGCAACATGTTGCAGGCCAGCACTTGCCTGTGGACAGCTCTTTGAGTGCTCTAGGTTATAGGAATGAACTACTCGCATTTTTTATAGCAGTTCTCCTAATCTGGCTTTGGACAGTTTGTTTAGTCACATGACAATGAAACCTAGGAATTATAAATGTTTCCAAAGGGTAGGATGCCATCACTCTGGAAAGATACTTCTTTTAAGAAGTTCAGCTGATATTTTACTTACCACTGTCTCCTCACAACTGCTAGTTTCCATCTGCCTTGTTATTTCAGAAATGTGTGCAGCCACCACTGCTACTTTGCATTAAGTAGTGCTTACCAAATTACTCCTGAGCCCTCAATTTTAAATATAGTATCTATGCTCTCATTGCTGAAGGGACAGAACCACCAAAAGAGATCACTCTGCATGCAGGGAGAACTCACTAAATTCTTCTATCTAATTGACATGCAGAGCAAATGCTAGACTCTAGAAAAGAAAAAGTTACAAAAACACACTTTCCAAACTCCCCTAGAAAAATTACCTGCAGTCTAGGAAAATAAGCCTCCAACTTCTCCTTATTAGCTGGTCTCATGTTGCTAGGCAACAGCTGGCCTGTATCCACAGCCAGGCTTTTAAGAGTCACGCTTGTCTTGTAAGTCCCCAAGAGTCCTCAACTCTGACTTGCTCTGTCTTCTGCCTTCTGTTTATTTGCTGTGTAGAGACTCTGCCTAATTCTGGGATCCTGGCAAGATCTCTAACCTACAACCTAATAGAGCTATGTCCTTTTGGAATCACAGGTAGGAAAACAAAAAACAGGAAAAAAAAAAAAAAAAACACTTAACCCAACATCCACCCTTACGTTTGGAGCCTAGAAGGAACGCTGCGGGCCAGCACCCTGCACTGTGGGCTGACCTAACGCTTTCATACAGACCTGTGGGAATCTTAAATGTGCACATAAATCAGACTGAGAATATATATAGGACAGGGATAGAAAGCACATTGGATCACAGAGTGGCACCCCCTGCCAACACGCAACTGTTCTCCACTTTTTATCCCTCAAGGGCATGAATAGATCTGTCTGTCATTTTAGAGAATAAGCTTCTTAAAACCAGAAAGTAGGCATTTTTGGATTATCTGTACAGCACACACCACTAAATAGGCACATAAATAAAAGTTAAATATTAATAAATATCACTTTCTAAGACATAAAAGAGCAGAAAAAGATAAGCTGCCAAGTAAAGTTGCCATAATTACAGTCAATGAATCTCAATAATATGCCCCATTTATCACCATATGTAGGAGTAAGAAAAATGGTCCAGGTCCTTCCTCCAGCACATCACAGGTTTGAGCATAAATTGACCCAAATAAGAAATCCAGGAGAGAGAAGGAACTGAAATTATTCAATTTTCCTGGTAAAGGCAAAGATGGGAACAAGATGAAAGAAAGTGTTTTCCTTACTCCAGTAAAATGCAACCATTCATTGAGGGCTCACTGTCTGCCAGGCCATTTATTTTTAATCCTGAAAGTAGTTAAGTTGTTAGGTAAGTGAATCTAGTCTCACTTTAAAAACAAGGAAATGGGGCTCAATTAAATGTCTCATCCAAGCCTTAGAGTTTTTCAACGGCAGAGGCAACCTCAGTCCATTTGCTCTTCCTATTGATTGTAATACCTCTATCAGTGCCCACTTGGTGGTGAATTCTAGTACTTGGGCAACTGTAGGGTCTTAAAAATATAGCTGGAGCTAACACACAATAGAAACTTCTCAACCTTCAATATTTGAGACTAGGATAAAGAGCACAAATAGTGGCCCAGGAATCTTTGGTTAGGCTTTGAATAGTACGTGCAAAGATGGATGTGAAGCAGGGGTGGGAAGATGAGAGTAAATGTATCAGCAGAAATTTGAAACCTTTTTGAAGCTTTTTGTTCAGCGTTTTGCAGGGTCTTATCCGGCATTTAAAGTGTTACATATTCTAAAATGCTAGCTTCTGAAAATGAATGCAATACATGGTGTTTTTCTAGTTATGTTGCACTTGTACATCAAAGGGTAAACATTTCAAACTAAATTATTCAGTGAGGATTTAGTATTCTTCTATTGCTGCTGAATACTAATGAGAGGATATGAACATGGTTTATCATTTTCTATTAAGATAGAAGAGAAAGCTGTTGGTAGAGTCACTGAGAAATGTCTTTCCTAGGTCACTAACCTTTAAATATTTTGATTCATTAGCGAAAAACAAATGTGTAAGGAGTATCAACTATGTACAATCGTTACTGTGGAATATGTGAATGTGTACATATACCTGAGTGTGTCTATAGTGTGTCTACAATATGTGTGTATATCTGTGTGTATATCTGAGTTCAGACTGTGTAAATCCAAACAGGAAAATGACCTATCGATTACCAAATAACTTAAATTTAGCTGAAGAAATAAAATGTATGCTTAAAAATTATGCAATCCAACAAGACAGTAAATAATTAATATTTTCTTAGGAATTATAGGATATTGACTAGTCTCTGTACCCTGCACCTCAATTTTGCCTTTATGTTGCTTCCTTCCTAACAACTTTTAAATTTTGTAAGTCATTCCATTAACAAAAATCTTTCCTTCAACCCTTTTTTACTGCTCATTTGACACTTTATGCTTCTTTTGCTCTTCGTGATTAAACCTCTCAAATTAGTATCAACTTCCATATCTCCTTATCATCCAATCTGCTCACATCTCCTATTGCTCTACCTATCTGCACCCCCTGACATTACCATTTATTCCAGGTCACCAAATCCAAAGGACACTTTTCACTCCTAATTTTTCTCTACATCTCAACATCTTTGCATGTTTTCTTACAGAGTAAGAAAACTTGAAATACTCTCTTTCCTTTGCTCCTCACCCTCACTCCCAGTCCTTAGACATATTTTTAACCTCTTTTGCTGGCTTCTCCATCCCTATCCAATTTTCAAATGTTGGTATTCATGAGGGGCTTTTCTCTTTTTGTATATACTTTCTGCTGCTCACTCACTTATATGGTTTTAACTATTACCTACCAATATGACTTATACTTATATGCTAATTATTTCTAAACCTGTGTCTGTAGTCTATACCATTCTCCTGAATTCCAGGTGCAAATACATCTCCCTAATCAGCACCTTTACTTTAATGTCTCACAGGTAGCTCAAACTCAATCTATCCAAAGATAAATGTAAAGTCTTTCTTTCTACCTTCCCCCACAATAAAAATAAAAACACAACATGGCAAAACTTAAGGGATGCAGAAAAAGCAGTGCTGAGGAGAAAATTTTTAGCTGCAAATTAAAAAAAGAAAAATATCAAATCAACAACTTTACACTATGAGAAATTAGAAAAAGTGTTAGCTAAGCCCAAATGTAGCTAAAGGAGGGAAATAATAAATATTATAGCAGAGATAAATAAAATAAAGAATAGAATAACAATAAGGAAAATAACCAAAGTCAAAAGTTACTTCTTTGAGAAAAATCAATGAAATTGACACACCTTTAGCTAGACTTACCGAGAAAAAGGAGAGGATGTGCAAATAACTAAAATCAGAAGTGAAAGTGGGGACATTACTACAGCCCTACAGAAATAAATAGGATTATAAGAGAATAAAATGAACAAACAAAGTAGATAAACTCATTGAATAAAAAAAATTAGGAATATACAAATTACCAAAATTGACTCAAGATGAGATAGAAAATCTGAATAGATGTATAAAAAATAAAGAGCTTGAATCAATAATAATTATTATTTAAATTCCCAAACAGAAAAGTCTAGGACCAGAGGGCTTTATTGGTGAAGTGTACCAAATATTTAAAGAAGACTTGGCACCAATTCTTCTAAAACAGTTCTAAAAAACAGAAGATGAAGGAATACTTCCTAAGTCATTCTATGAGACTATTACCCCGATATCAAAGCCCTTTAAAGACACCACAAAAAAAAAAAAAAAAAAAAACTACAGATCAGTTCACATCCATATTCATGGATACGAAAAATCTTCAACAAAATTTTAGCAAACTTAATATAACAGCATATTAAAAGTATCATGTACCATAACCAAGTGAGATTTATTTCAGGAATCCAAGAGTGGTTCAACATACATTAATAGGACCCAAACAAAACAAAACAAAACAAAACAAAAAACACATGACCATGTAAATTAATGCAGAAAAATCACAAAATCCAATACCCTTTCAGTATAAAAACACATGGTAAGCTACGAATAGGATGCAATTTTTCACTCATGAAGAATGAAAAAGAACAAGGATATATATTAAAAACCCACAGTTAACATCATAAGCAATGGTTAAAGACTGAAAACTTTCCTCCTAAGATCAGAACCAAGTCTAGGATGCCTGCTTTCACTGCTGCTATTCAACATTGTTGTTGTAGTTCTAGCCACAAAAATTAGGAGAAAGAAAGAAGGAAGGAAGGGAGGAAGGGAGGGAGGGAGGGAAAGAGAGAAAGAAAAAAAAGAAAAGGAAAGAAAGGAGGGAGAGAGGGAGAACAGAAGAATGAAAGGGATGGGAGGGAAGGAAGGAAGGAGGGAGGGAGGGAGGGAAGGAAGGGATATCCAAATTGGAAAGAAAGAAGTAAAACAAGAATCAATAAACAGATGATTTTAGATGATATGTAAAAATCACAAAGATTCCATGAAAAACTAATGGAGTTAATAAATTCAGCGAAACTGCAAGTACAAAATTTTGTACTTGACATACAAAATGTCAATATGTATGTATTTTGACATACAAAAATAAGTTGTGTTTCTATAGGTCAATAATGAACAATCCAAAAAGAAAATTAAGAAAATAATTTCATTTTCTTCTATGAAATTGAAAAAAATTTCAATTTCATAGAAGAAGGAGCACTTCTACCCAAGGTGATCAAAATTTATAGTAAAAACTAGAACACATTGCTGAAAGTGAAGAAAAACTAAAAAAAGAAAAGATATCCCATGTTCATTAATTGGAAAACTTCATATTGTTAAGATGATAATTCTACCCAAAGCAATCTACAGATTCAAAGTAATCCCCATCAAAATTTCAGTGACTGTTTTTACAGAGATGGAAAAGCTGATTCTCAAATTTATATTTTATTACAAACATTCCCAAGCAGCCAAAATATTTTAAAAGAATAACAAAGTTGGGGCCAGGCATGGTAGCTCACACCTGTAATCCCAGCACTTTGGGAGGGTGAGGTGTGTGGATCACAAGGTCAGGAGTTCGAGACCAGCCTGGCCAACATGGCAAAAAACTGACTCTACTAAAAAAATACAAAAAATTATCTGGGCATGGTGGTAGACACCTGTAATCCCAGCTTCTTGGGAGGCTGAGACAGGAGAATTGCTTGAACCCAGGAGGCAGAGGTTGCAATGAGCCAAGATTGTGCCACTGCACTCCAGTCTGGGCAACAGAGTGAGTCTCCATCTCAGAAAAAACACAACAAAAAACAAACAAACAAACAAAACAAAGTTGGAGGGCTCGTACTTCTCAATGTTAAAACTTCCTGCAAAACTGCAGAAATCAAAATAGTGTGGTATTAGTATAGGATAGACATAGAGCAAAGGAATAGAATTGAAAGCCCCAAGACAAACCCATTCAGCTATGACCACTTGATTTTCTAGAAGGGTGCCAAGACCATTCAATGGGGATTGAATACGCAACAAATCATACAGAGACAATTGGATGTCCACATGTAAAAGAACAAAATTGGAGCCCTACCCACCTCACGCCTTATATAAAAAGTAACTCAAAATGCATCGGTGCACTGTAAATGGACACTTAGACTGAGTCTAAGAGCTAAAACCATAATATACTTAGAAGAAAATATTAGATAAATCCTTATGACCTTTGATTTGACAATGTGTTTTTAAATATGACACCAAAAGCACAAGCAATAAAAGATAAAAAAGATAAGTTAGCTTCATCAAAATTAAAATTTCTGTTCATCAAAGGATATTGTCCAGAAAGTAAAAAGACAACCTATCAAATAGAAGACAGTATTTTCAAATAATGTATCTAATAATACATCTAGTGTTCCAACTCCATCAATAAATTTCACAACTCAACAATAAAAAGACAACTCAATTTAAAATGAGGGAAATGCATGAGATACTTATCCAAAAGAACACAAGAACAAAAAAAGCACATGAAAAGATGTTCAACATAATTAGTCATCAGGGAAATACAAATCAAAACCACAATGAGACACCACTTGCATGCATGAGGATGAGTACAACAACCATAAAAAGGAAATAAAATAAGTGTTGGGAAAGATGTGTGGAAGAGGTAGAAAAATTGAAAGCCTCACAGATTTCTGGTACGAGTGTAAAATGATGCAGCTGCTGTGGAACACTGGCAGTTCTTCAGGTTAAACATAAAATTACCACATGATCAAGCAATTCCACTCTGAAGTGTATACCCAAAAGAACTGAAAACAGGTACTCAAATATTTACACCCTTACGTTCATCGAAGCACTATTCACAATAGCCAAAATGTAGAAACAACTCAAATATTCATCAACAGATAAATTGATAAGCAAATTGTGGTGTGTGTGTACATGTGTCTGTGTATGTGCAATGGAATCATATTCAGCCATAAAAAGAAATAAAGTACTGATACGTGTTATAACATGAAGAAATATCAAAAACTTTCTATGTGGAAGAAGTCAGACAAAAAAAGTCACAAATCATATGATTCAATTTATATGAAATACTCAGAATAGGTAATTCCTTAGAGACAGAAAGCAGATTGGTAGTTGCTAGGGCTGAGAGAAGGGCAATGGGGAGTGACTGCTTAGCAAGTACAGGTTTTCTTTTGGAGTGATGAAGATATTTTAGAACTAGATAGAGGTGGCAGTTGCACAACAGTAAATGTATTAAGTGCCATTGAATGCACATTTAAAATGGTTAATTTTATGTTATGTAAATTTCTACTCAATTATTAATTTTTTTAAAAAAAGCAAGGGCTGGGCACGGTGGCTCACACCTGTAATCCCAGCACTTTGGGAGGCTGAGGCAAGTGGATCATTTGAGGTCAGGCGATCAAGACCATCCTGGCCAACATGGTGAAACCCCGTCTCTACTAAAAATACAAAAATTAGCTGAGCATGGTGGGGCACACCTGTAATACCAGCTGCTCCGGAGGCTGAGGCAGGAGAATTGCTTGAGCCTGGGAGGCGGAGGTTGAGGTGAGTCAAGATCATGCCACTGCACTCCAGTCTGGTCAAGAGAGTGAGACCCTTTCTCCAAACAAACAAACAAAAAACAGGGCATATAATACTGGGAAGCTGATTGATGGCATCTCCCTTATTTCCCAAACTACTTTTAGAATAAATAACTCAGTTACTATACCTCATACAATAATAAAATGTATAGTTTTTCATCATCTTGAAGTAAACACGTGATTAAAGAAACTGATTTGAATATTTTGATTGGATAGTTATGTCTATTTTTATTAGATAAAATGGATTTTTACCAAATTATACTTCTCATAGCCAATAGAATTAAAACATTTTTAGAAGTAATTTAAATTGAGATCACAGAAAGTCTAGTATTTTAGATTTCTTGGCATGTCATATATTTCCACTTGTTTAGATTTGTTAGCTTGACCACATGAAAGGAAAAGTAATTTTCATTTTTTCTTTTCTTTTCCTAGAGTGAAAGGAAAAATAAAATAAAATGATTCAAGGAAAACAAATGTAATAACACATAAACTTTGAAATTTTGTAACTCTATGCATCATATTTCCCTTTCTAATATGGTTATAAAAATATTCACAATAAGAACATAAGAACCATTTTATTGCAAACAGCAAAGGAAGTGTGTGTTTGGTACTTGAGGTCTTCTTTAGACAGTTTTATTAATATTTATTTATTTTTATTATAGATTCAGGGGGTATATGTACGGATTTATTACATGGATATATTGCATAATTCTGGGATTTGGACTTCTAGTGAACTCATTACCCAAATAGTGAACATGATACCCAGTATGTAGTTTTACCAAACCTTTTCCCTTTCCCTCCCACCCTGCTTTTGGAGTCTTTTGTGTCTATTGTTTCCATATTTATGTGCATATGCACCCATTGTTTAGCTCCCCTTTATAAGTGAGAACACGTGGTATCTGATTGTCTGTTTCTGCATTAATTCACTTGGGGTAATGACCTCTAGCTGCATCCATGTTGCTACAAAGGACATGATTTCATTCTTTTTTTATGGCTGCATGGTATTCCATGGTGTATATATTAGTCTGTTTTCATGCTGCTGATAAAGACACACCTGAGACTGGGTAATTTATACAGGAGAAAGAGTTTATTAGACTTATAGTTCCACATGGCTGGGGAAGCCTCACAATCATGGCAGAAGGCAAGGAGGAGCAAGTCACCTCTTATATGGATGGTGGCAGGCAAATAGAGAGCTTGTGCAGGGAAACTTTGCCTTATAAAGCCATCAGATCTCGTGAGACTTATTCACTATCACGAGAACAGTGTGGGAAAGACCTATCCCCATGATTCAATTGCCTCCTACTGGGTTCCTCCCACAACATGTGGGAATTCAAGATGAGATTTTGGTGGGGACACAGCCAAACCATATCTGTGTATATGTACCACATTTTCTTTATCCAATCTACTGTAAATGGACACTTAGATTGATTTCATGCCTTTGCTATTATGAATACTGCTGTGATAATGAGTGCAAGTGTTGTTTAGACAGGTTTTTTGTTGTTATTGTTGTTTGTTTTTTGAGATGGAGTCTCGCTCTGTCACCCAGGCTGGAGTGCAGTGGCACAATCTGAGCTCACGGCAACCTCTGCCTCCTGGGTTCAAGCGATTCTCCTGCCTTAGCCTCCTGTCTAGCTGGGAGTACAGGCATGGGCCACCACACCCGGCTAATTTTTGTATTTTTAGTAGAGGCAGGGTTTCACCATGTTAGCCAGGATGGTATCAATCTGCTGACCTCGTGATCCACCCCCCTTGGCCTCCCAAAGTGCTGGGATTACAGGAGTGAGCCACTGCTCCCGACTGACAGTTTTAAATGGAAACTTCTACAGTGGATTTTCTTTAAATATCACTAAGTTCAGTATGTTCTGTAGGGATCAATTGAGACCAAATTGAGACCAAAACAACCCTCCCAGAATGCCTAATTGTTATTCTAACAACCTGCATGTGCAGTCCTGTACTGTTCTTTTTTTAGTGATAAAATATTATGTATAGCAAATTATTTAAACTTCTACCAACATAAAAGAGTGTTGAGAGAGAGACACAGTAACAATATGTGCAAATCAAAATGGAAATGAAGCAAAGGCTACAAATTCCAACATCTTGTTTTATAATGGTTTGGACTCCCCAAAGCGGGCCCCAAAAGGATTGGGTTCAATTTATTCACTTGTAAGTGATCTCAGGAAGACAGTAGTCAGGAGCAGAGAGAATAAGACAGGAAAAGGAAGGTAGTCAGTATAGGACATAAGAATGAACAGGTTATCACTCCAGGCAACTAGAGTTAAACCTCTGAGAATGAGACTGAAACACATATCTCCCAGTTTTTCCACTGAGGGGTGAGGAGGCTGGGATGCATGTTCATCTGTTTCCTACTATTCCCATTCTCGTTAGTTGGGAGTTCACTTCCAGCTTTCCTATCTAGATCTATAGCGGTGGAGCAGGCTTCTGCAACTAGAGAGCACCTTCAAATAGAGACACACACAAAGCTGCCTATGTGGACAGGAACTGCCTGAAGGGGCCCTCTGGGGTGAACCAACAGAATATGGGCAGGACCCTGTCACAGGGTGGATTCTCCTGGAAGCAGACTCTGATATTAAGAGTAATGGACAGGGTATTAACTAATGAGTGCCCTGGCGATCAACACTATGGATGTGAGGAGAAGGGAGCAGTATTGAGCAGAGGGTAAAGTCAAGCTTCTAAGATGCACCAGCATGTAACTTAGGATGAGAATAAAGTCTACTCAGAAGAGTGAAAAATCTACCGTAGGATAGTCTTAGAGGAATATGGCCAAGGAGAGGATTTTCTCTCCTTTCATTAATGAAAAGTTATAATCTATGTGCAGCTTGCCACATTATCAAGTGAGCTCAGATGCAAATAGTTAACATATTTTTGAAAAATGCCTTCCATGTTACTATCAATGGACTTAATTTTAAATTCATCAAGTTAAAAATGACAAATCTGTCATATAATATGTGTCTTAGAAACATAGAATTAATAATGCCTGCTCCCTATAACCTCCCATCAGTGCTTTCCCAGCTTACATGAGCATGGAAATAAAAGTGGGGTGCACACATACACACTTACACAGGTTCATAGATGGTGTGGTGATTTGAAATGTTTAATATGCCCAAGACCCATTTGGCATACTTGTCTATACTGCAGATGCTGGTAATCTTAATACCACCTCCAGAAATTCTGATTCAAAACTCTGAGCCCCGTACATTTTAAATGAATATTCCAGGCAGTTCTCATTCAATATTTCAGGAACTACAATCATGAAACGCTGAGTTAATGGAATGTTTAGAAGAACTAATCATTTTTACAGACAAAACTGAAATATTTAGACTATTTTTACATTATTTGCTTTTAATTCATTATTATTTTAGCCCAAATGACACCATTTCAAATTTAACTTTTTTTCTCTTTCTTGAATCTTTTTAATAACGTCAGAGAACAATGAACCAAATGGCCAAAAGCTAAATTAACAAACCACAAAGAAGCAAGCAAATGAACAAGTTTTTAATGTCTTAAACCAAGCTGTCTTCCATTCTTATTTAGATTCCTTCTGCCAAAAACTGATGAATCAAAATATATGCAAATAGGTTTGTTAAGATTTAGAGACTTATTTAGATTCTGTAGTATTACATATAAATAGTAACTATATGATGAAGTCCTTAAAATATTATTTTTCTAGCTAAAACCTTTACTTTGAAATTATGTCATCACATTCATTAATTTCCTTTTTTCTTATCATTTTCTTGATAGTTAATGTACAGTTAAATGTAGACTCCATTTCAAATTTCAATTCTGAATAAATATAGTCTTAAAGAATTCTTTTCCAGTCATTATTAGCAATAACTTTCATGTGGTTACTAAAAGCATTCATATACATTGTCCTTTGATCCATCCATTAATTCTGTGTGGACAGAAGAATTACTATCATTCTTATTTTCAAAAGAATATCATGGATATTCAGAAAAATGTGTTTACGGTCACACAGGCAGCAAATGGAGTAGGAAGGATTGAAGGATTGTAGGATTGGAAACTGTTGCTGGGCTTTAAATCCTATTCTCTCTCAAATCTACCACTTTCACTTTCTAATTAAAATTACTTCTTAATATAGTTCACATAAAAGTACATTCAAACTCAAGTTCAAAACAACCAGGAAATAATATTTTACCTATTAGTGATGGAGAGAAGAGTATATAACAAGCTAAGAAAATAAGTAAAACCAGTTATAGTCTAGTCAGCATTTTTGGGTCCATTCTCAGGTTTTACAGCCAAGCAAGAATGGGTTGTTTTGAAGGAGACCAGAAAAAGATTGAGTTTATTTGTTTGTTTGTTTTGTTTTTTTTTTTTTTTGTAAATTGGTTATAATTCAGTGACTTTGCTGAAACTAACAAAGTCTTCTCGCAGAGGTTAGCACCCTGCTGTGAACAGTCATTTTCTTCTCAAATATTATTTCATGGCATAATTTGTGATTCTCAAATTTTATGTATTTTAATGGAAGTTACAAACTGTGATAGTTCCACATAATTTTTCATGCTACTTATTTTTTATGGCTATCCTTATGTCAAAAGGGAAATGAAAATAAACTTAGGTTTCTAATATAACAGTTATAAATGAAGTGCAATATTTTAAATCCAGACATTTCTTGAAGTCACGTGAGGGAAAGATGCCAGACTCACCAATCCCTGCATCTGGAAGCTGCAGGAGAGAGATTCTCAGGCACAAAGAAGTTTAGCGTACACATGACCAAGTGTCCGTTGTACAGACCTAAGCAGCACTCACTCTGGCAGGAATCCATATTTCCAGAAACCACCTTTATTCTGCCCACAACTAGCCCCCACTGCAGCGTTCCCTCCAGGACTCACAAGAGGCCAAGCAAGGACAAAATCTCTGGCCTGTATATTTGACATTGAACCTGTTTTTCTGCACACCAACGGTATTTTTAGTAAAGATTTCAAAAGCACAGAAAAGTCAAGGTTTTCCTTCTCTTTCTCAAACACCAGTATGATGATGATTTTAAAAAGTTTAGATGATCAAAGAGCCACTTATCATTTAATGTCCCACAAAGAAGAATCTCCAGAAGTACTATGGCTAAGATAAAAAGAATACAACAGAAAAATTTTCAAGAATTTTAAATTTCTGTATATTGGCCATTTTCACGATGCTTTAAGTTGTATAAGATTATATGTGCTGAGCCATTTAAAACATAGAAAAAGCTTGGTCATTCATTTCAAGAATAAGCTAGCATAGACCAAACAGCCAACAAATTACAAGTCGTTAATTGAAAACAAACTTAGCATGTGCATTTGCATACAATAAGTTGATAATTCCAATGCCTCAAATGAAGGTTCTGAGGGAGAAAAAGATTTTAAGTAAACTCTGTCTTGAAAGCCCATTACATTGAGAGCTGTTTACAGAAAAGGAACATTCTATTCAGCTTAAATTCTTAGTATCAGGAACATAATCAATATCCAAAAAATTTTTGCTGAGTATCTGTTACATCTAAGAAGAAAAGCTAGATTTTGCCTTTCTAGAAATAGCAAAATACCTTTACAGTAAATTTGGCTGTAGTCATAGATTGCAGATTTTTGGAAGGATATCAAAAAGATATTAATAAATTTCTATATTTTCATAGCTGATATGCAAGATATTTTAGTAACTCATAGATTGTATGATGGACTAACAGCTTAAAATTAGAAATTTATTTTTTATTACATTAGAAGATGAGAGACAAAGGGAAGAGAAATTTCAAAGAAATTCAGTGTGAAGAAATGAGAGAGAGAGTTGAGAGAGAATTAGACAAAAATAACCTAAAATCATGGACTGCAATTATAAAATATGTAAGAAAATAAGAAGTAATGATAATTAAGCAGGAACTGAAATAAAAAGGATGTGACTTACTTTAAGAAATAAACCAATTTTCAAAACTGGTTTTATCTACGGTATAGTTTGTTAAAATTATTGATGGACATGTATTCATTCATTGTCATAGCTTCACTCTCTCTGCTGTGTCGATAACTCCCATATCCCTGAAGCCTGACCACTCCTTTGAGCATCACACCTGGCTTTTCAACAATTTCAGATGCATTCACCAAAAAAGTTCACAGTACTTTTTTAACCTAGATAATGGCTAAAGCTACTATTTACAATAGCGAAGATGTGGACTCAACCTAAGTATCCATCAAGGGATGAATGGATTAAAACACACACACAAACACACACACACACACACACAATGGAATACTATTCAGCCATAAAAAATAATGAAATCATGTCTTTCACAGCAACACAGATGGAACTAGAGGCCATTATCTTAAGTGAAAAAACTTAGAAAGTCAAATACCACATTTTCACTGATAAGTTGGAACTAAATAAAGCATGAACATGGACATAGAGTGTGGAATAATAGTCCCTGGAGACTCAAAAGGGTTGGAGGGTAGAAGGGGTGAAAGATGAGAAATTATTTAATGGGTACAATGTACACTATTTGGGTGATAGTTACACTAAAAGCCCAGACTCAACCGCTATGCAGTATAACCATGTAACTTTTCTACTCTCAGATGAATTTCCTAGAGATCAAAATACTATGTATCAAAACATTACGTTATGAGGCATTTATTTGCATTCTACTGCTCCTTCATAGTAAAGTTCTATTTCTGGTATAAAATGGTCCCAAGCATTAAAATAAAATGAGACTATTGTTAAATGCTTCCTTATCTCATAAAAGCAATGCTCACCACTAACCTATATATAATTCTACATAAGTTGTATGTTTGACTCAAGGGAAAGATCTGTAGCAGAATATTTAAGCCCTGGGAGATAAAAGTATAAAGCTGTATACATTTGCCTGACACTAGGGTTCCTGTCATAATGACTCTCATCAGGTGTGAACCCCAGGCAGCTGATCATATTCCAGAGACTTGACTCAGTTAAACAAAAGATTGAAGGGAATCATAGCATCACCCTATCCAAGTCCCAGCTTCTTCTAGGCCTTCCCTTTTCCATAAGTCCCATTCTTTTTGCTCATTGTTCATGATTCTACCAATAACAATAGTTCCTTGGCTTAAAGGAGAAATTTTTTTCTCAGATAGAAAAGACTAAAATCTACCAAAATATAAAAACTAGAAGTATCTGCATAGCCTTTACTGAAAGTTTTTATTGCACATCTTAGGAATAGAATGACAAACTGACTAACATGAAGTTTTTCCTTTGTGTGTAGCACTGCCTCTTTGAGTGAGACAAGAGCCTCTAGGATATAGCCCACTGGAATGCTCTTATATTTGCACTGTGTTTTATCATTTATCGAGTTATGTATGTTATATTTATGTTATATTTAGCTTTTAGCTTTGCAACAATCGTAGGAGAAAAAAGGCAAGATCTCTATCAGTTTATTTTTAAATATGCAAATATTGAGGTTTAAGTCATTGTTCCTTAGACATTGTTCCATAGCTGGTGGGTAGGAGATGTTGGATATGAAAACATACCTTCTGCAGCATGGTTCAAGGATCTTTATACAACTCACACAAACCAGCAAGAATTCTAGAGAGAACAAGATGTGCTTATTAAGTGGCAGGCTCAGCAGGGAAACATTAAGACATATAGAGCTCAGAACTGAGGCAAGGTCTAGACAGAGTTGGGTGATCTCATTATTTGTAGGTTATTTTTGACAATGAGAGGGGTAGTATTAATAATCATGCCAAATATGAGTTATTTTCTAGGATTATATCAGGAACAGGACACAAAGTAATTCCAAGCCAGAAGACTCCTGTGAATGAGTTCTCACAGTCAGGTCAGGGTATTTGAGGACAAAATTCTCAAACTGGAGCCCCAAACTATTTGTTATAACTCAAGGTGGGTAGAGGTCAGTGAGGAGTAAGTAGTGAAGGGAGGAAAGGATGGAGATAAAAAAGGAATTTAACATTGTTTCTGGAGATACTGAGCAAAAGAGGTACAGGGTGTAATAACAACAATTATAATATGAATGTCTACCATTTATTGAGTTTCTGCTAATGATCTAAAAAAATACTGAAATTTATTGATTATCACCATTTTCTTACACATGAGGGAACTAACAATTCAAAAGGGTTAAATTATCTACATTTTCTAAGAGAGTGAATTTGAATCCAGGTCAGTCTGAATCTTACAAAACTATCTTGCTATGGTGTAAAAGGACCAATACAAAACAGCTATTACGTTTGGCTAGTTATGTAAAAAGAACTTCAGAACAAACTTTAGGAGGCTCCCACTATCCAAAAGATGCCATAATTTAAACTTCCAAAAAATTACAAATTATTAAAAGCTATCAAAAAAGGTTGAATCCATTATGAGTTTATAATTGTGTGTGTGTGTGTGTGTGTGTGTGTGTGTAAAACTAATTGCATACCTTTAGTGGTTAATAAGAAACCAATTCATTATCTTGAAAACTGATAAACAGTAAAAAATTTATGCTACCTTTCTTTTACAAATTGTGTCATTCAGTAACCAAATAGTCGGTGAGATGAGTCATCTTTTTATAAATGTATTCCAAATAATAAATAAAAGTAAAATGTAGAATTTGAATATTCTCATATTTATAAATTAATGGATCTAAGCACTGGGCATAAATAGCTGATACACCAGCTATTGATGTATAAAATGAGAGACAATCGGGTTTCTTTCTTGAAACACAATGATAAAACACAATGAAAAAACACAATGCCTATTACAGTTTTATCAAATGGATGAAACGTGAGTCTGATCAATTTTCTAAATCTCCCTGCTCATAGGCACAAAAATAGGACAGAAAAACACAGTGTATTTCCCCGGACAGCACAGTAATAGAGGTTTAGCAACTCACATAATTTCTTTGCTAAGGACTGAATTTCTTAGTCCCTGTTGTAGCTAGAGGTGGCCATGTGACTGAATTTCCATCCATGAAAAATGAATGCATCTTTAGTGTTTTCAGGCCCACTCACTCTTCCATTTTTGCAAACTGAATCACAAAAAAGCCTGTAACACACCTCTGGTCAGAAGGAAAGTATATCTTAGGGGATGCTAGACAGAAAATGAGTCCTTGAAAAACCACATGCCATAAAGCCACCCTGACAACCTTGATTGCTTACATTGGGACCGTATTGTGAGAAATTATCTTCTATGTTCTTAAAAACAAAACCAAAAATGAGTTATTGCCTATGATCTAGAAACCAGGAATTTAAGAGGTAGCCTGAATGTCAGAACCAAAAACAAATGAAACAAAGAGGTTACCAGCCCAGCTCAAACTGGGTCATCTAATGACAAAACAGAGTCCTCCAGGTAAAAACCGCAGGAAGATTTGCCAGTTTAAACAGGCAAGCTTCCACAGAGGTGAGATTTCTATTGGAGTTTTAACTTTATCTCCACCTTAAGGCTGATGGGCTTTTTTTGCTTTTTTTTTTTTTTTTATCATTATGAGATCTAGTTCCTAGAAGAAGGTATGTGAATCACTAACATACCAATATGGCACTGCTTCTCCAAGGTCTGGGCTAAGAAAAGGAGAGAAGATTATTCTAAGAACGAGTGTGAATAAACAACAAAACTTGAGGGCTGAAAGAGAAATGAAAATAATTTGAGTCTGGAAGATCCTGAACATGGTAGTATATCTAGGTGAAATAAAGAAAATATCATGAGAATTTGGGTTAGTTAGATCAGCAGTGTGATTGGAACAGACTTCGCCCAGACCCAAACCTCTGGAGTAGGGTTAAATATGGAGTAGATTCTGCTGATCTCTGGTCTTGAGTAAAGAGGAACTAAAATCCAAATCCTTGTCTCAGAATGCTGCAGAGTCATGATAAGGGTATTCATGGTAAGAGGCTGAAATGGAGAAGAGGCAAGTCATAATGAGCAGGATTGGAGGATACCCTGAGAGATTCTCAGGGGCCATCAAGTGCAATGGGAACACTCTAAGACACAAATGGATAGATAATGAGCAGTTAGTGGCACTGAACCAGTCTGAATAACAACCCTAAGCTCACTTAGTTTTTAGTAAAAATTAGGTGTACACTTGAGGAGACAATGAGTATACTATTTGGTAGGCAATGTGGTAGAAGAGGCATCATCAGAGGAACACCAGCAGGAAAGACCTTAATATCAAAAATATAGTCAGTGGGTAAAGTCCCACAGCTCTCTACAATCCTGCTACCACAGCTGAGCTCTTGAAAATTGGACTAGGGTTCCATATTCTTGCCAGAAGCCTTGAGTAAGACTAATTCTTCCCAAGGAATGATGGTATTTGCATATTCTTGGACAGGACAGATCCCAGGGAAAAGGAAGTACAGAAGTGTGACAATCTCATTTCTATATCCACATCTTCTCCACACTTGATGGCTCCCTCCCTCATTGTATGGATGTGGCCTTATATTTAGTGCTTCATGTCCTCCTCAGAATAGCCCTTCCAGAGCCTTCAAAGAGGACCAGAGGAAAGAGACATTTGAAATCCCTGAAGTGATGTTGTGGATGTCATCATTTATAATATGTCTTACTGATTGGGAGATGTTAACATTAATTAAAACCTTATCGTTCCTTTGCAATGGGCAGTAATTGGTAGTCACAAGTGTCATGGTTTGCCTCTATGGGGTGCGTGAAAAACAGCTGCATTTTGATTATAGTAGTAAGTATTGCATCTTCATTAATTCACCAACCATATGGATATTTGAAGTGTTCCTGTCTGGTGATGCCAGCTCATGTCACTGTCAGTGAGGAAGAAAATCCTAATTGATTTGTTTCACTTTCTCACAATCAATTAACAAAATCAACTTTAATGTAAGCTACCAAATTTCATAAGTTGAAGTATGTAAGAAAGAACTGAAACAAAAAGGGTAGGTTTCTATAGACTGTTGTTCTGATGAAATCTAATTCTCCCCATGGGTTGCTGTGGATTCAGTGTTCTTTATCAGGGTGGTCAGAGCAATGTCTTGCCCTATAGAGTCTTCTTAAATTTACCTGTCTTATACCATGCCTGTAAGGCCAAGTGAGTATATATGTATAGTACGTGAATATATATTATTTTATATGTGTAGATGAACATGTTAGTATGGATATTTATGTACCACATGTGACAGGAGAATTATTTAAAATTTCTAAAACTTCCAGATCTTCTGAAAAGAATGATCTTCAAGGACAAAACTTTGTCAAGTTTGGTGATGAGTATGAAAATGAAATTTAAAGGAGAAAAAAGAAAACTGAAGTTTACTTTTTTTGAGTTTCACTCTGTTGCCAAGGCCGGAGTGCAGTGGCACCATCTTGGATCACTGCAACCTTCACCTCCCGGGTTCCAGGCAATTCTCCTGCCTCAGGCTCCCAAGTAGCTGGGATTACAGGTGCACGCCACCATGCCTGACTAATTTTTATATTTTCAGTAGAGATGAGGTTTCACCATGTTGGCCAGGCTGGTCTCAAACTCCTGGCCTCATGTGATCTGCTCGCTTTGGCCAAATTTCACTTTATAAGAAAAGCCACATGCTAGGAGTGGAGATGTGAAGGCGAGGCTAAGGAAAGAAAAAAGTTGGAGCTGATATGGCTAGAAAAACCAACAGAAGAGGGTTAATGTGACTGATATCCGAATACAATTCTTGGGAAAGATAAGTTTGATAGCACAATAGGGTGGCTATAGTTAACAATAATTTATTGTACATTTCAGAATAATTACAGGAGTGGATTTGGAGTACTCCTAACACAAATGATAAATATGTGAGGTGAGGGATATCCCAATTACTCTGATTTGATGATTACACATTGTACCTCATAAATATATACAACTGTTATGTATCCATAAAAATTAAAAATTTTAAAAAGAGATGCCCCTTGGAGATCATACCATCACCCTAAGCCTCCCATCAAAATAGTTTTTCCAACATATGCAGAACTCTCCCTATGAAGAATTCTGACAAATGAGCTTTTAAGACAGGTTTTAGGAAACACTGGCACGAATATAATTGCATACCTTTCACTAAAAGGAGAATAGGAATATGATGTGCTAGGAATATTTTTTGATCTTCGAATAGGACTATTTCTTGATCTTAGTAATGATTTACTGATGTGCCAGCACTCTGCAAGATAGTAAACATCTCTTTGAGCTCAGTGATATAAGCTCTGTTGCACAGATGAGGAACTGAGACTAAGAAAGTTTAACTGAATGTGTCCGATATTACACAGCTAATAAGCATAGGAGCTAAGATTTGAATTCAGGTCTCTCTGACTCCAGAACTAATGTTCTTAAGTCTAGTGCTACACTATTTCTGCTTAACTACATTGTGTGTGAAGTAACCTCCTGTCCTTAAGTCTATTGGACCATATTCACCTGAGTTATACAACTTTATGGCAAAATATGAACTATTTCCCATTTGGACTTTGGCTACATTTCCTTAGTATGAAGTAAGAGAAAATCTTGGAAATACTTCATAGACATCTATCAAATCTCTGAGCTTTCTTTTTTTTCAGAAATTGGAAACATAAACTATTTTAGTGCCTATTATGGAGTGCCCCTATTCAAACTAACATCCCCTCTAACCCACTCAGAAGAATATTCTAAATTATAGCATTTAGTCTTTGGATAGGTATGTGCAGGACTACACAGGTATATATCCAAGATGAGTGCAGTTAAAGGTTTCATCACTCAAATGTCCAGTCCTATAAGCTTGAAATAATAACAAAATAGCCTTTTGAAATGAAAGCTTCAGAAATAGGTACATTAAAACTAAGTGTATAGCCATTATTTGTAAATGGCAAAATGAACCCTATTAAGGGGTTCTGTTTCTAAAATCACAAAATCGAGCTCTGATGCCCTGTGAATATGACAGCAAATAATACATTCTATATCCACGGTTGACTCATCATCTTGCCATGTCAGTAGGCTAAATGGAAGGAAATCATCTGGCTTTTTATTATAACTGTCATTGAGATTATTGCTCCTTTTCCATATTTAACCATCTTCACTTTCCTTCTATTTCAACGGTCCTCAAATTTTAATGTTAAAATATTAACCTGCAGAATCCCATCACAGCCCCCAAATATTCTGATTCCATATGAAAACCTGATAACCTTTTTAAAATTAAAAGCTGAGATGAATATTGTGTAGATTATCTTTTTTACATACTTGGAGAGATCATTTCTCATGTAATTATTAGAATAATTTTTACTTATTTTGTATTTTTGGTGAAAAATAAGTAGTTTATTTCCAAAAATTATCCAACAAATAGTGAGCATCTGCTCAAATTGTAGAAAATTTTGACAATATAGAACAATTTAAAAATTTTGTTACTTATTGATAGTCTTTGTTAACTCCTTGATAAATATGATTCTAGAGCTTTCATTTATAAATTTATGACTTTTATATATTCTACATTTACATTGTATTCTATATTCTACCACTTGTATATTCTTTTAAGTTGTTTCCATTTTTATATGTCAACTGTTCATTTTTTATTTCTTCTCTCTGTGTGTCTTAAATTGGGTAATTTCTATGCTTAATCTTAGACAAAAGGCTGAGAAGCAATTGGATAATTTCTATTGCTGTCTTTTAAGCTTATTCCATTTACATCATAAGTGCTTAAATATAGAAGATACATCATGCAGTAGGCCAGGCATGATGGCTCACGCCTGTAATCCCAGCAGTTTGGGAGGCCGAGGTGGGCGGATCACCTGAGGTCAGGAGTTCAAGACCAGCCTGACCAACATGGAGAGTCTCTACTAAAAATACAAAATTAGCCGAGGTAGTGGTGCATGTCTGCAATCCCAGCTACTCCGGAGGCTGAGGCAGGAGAATCGCTTGAACCTGGGAGGCGGAAGTTGCAGTGAGCCAAGATTGCACCATTGCACTCCAGCCTGGGCAACAAGAGCAAAACTCCATTTCAAAAAAACAAGATACACCATGCAGTTGTTGGTTGCAATGTTCTATATCCATCCCTTAGTTTGTTTGCTAATTGTGTTGTTCTACTTAGATTTAAATAGATTTCTTTAGTGATTTTTTTCTTTGATTATTTAATCACTGAGAAATTCATACTAAAATACCCTATTATGATTATGGATTTGTCAATATATTTTTGTATTTTTGTTCATTATTCATTTTCTATATTTTGAAGCCACCATATTTAGTTGCCAACAAATTTTAAATTGTGATATATTGCCAGTGAAATGAAAATTTGATCATTATTAATGGACTCTGTTTATCTCTATTGATCCTTTCTGGTTTTCATTGTGTTTTGTCTGACGTTAATATAGATAAGACAACTTTATTTTGGTTGGTTTGCCCACTGCATTTGTTCTACTTCATTAACATCAGTGTTTCTCTATACTTATGTTTTATATGTATCTCTTTCAAATAACATTATTAGCCTGAGCTACACAAAATTAAAATTATTGTAGCCAAATAAATGATCACTTATTGGCAGTTTCATATGGTTTAACCTAATATTTGTTTAGGTGATACCTATATTTCATTGAATCACATGTCAACTCCATGAATTCAGCATGTATATGTTCACTCTACAGATAGGTTTATGCATGTCAGAGCTGATATTTTAATTCAAGTTATCTTATTCCAAAGATTTTCTCTCTCTAGCAGTATTTGGATATGCATTCTTCTTAAGACAACTGTGTTTAAATCACACTTTCACCTTAAAATATTTATAGTATGGAGTTGTAGATATTATGTTTATAATTCATTTCACTCAGTTATGACAGGAAACACCTGACACATTGTAACAGGCTATTGATGTGAATTTAAAAGAACAATGCACAGGCTGCGGACAGGGCGAAGAGAAGCCAACAGGTGATGATTATGAATTTAGGGAGCTAGCCACAGTTGGCAGGGAGCTATTGCCATCTCTTGCCTGAGGAGCAAAAGGGAAAAGAGGCTGATTTGATCCTTTCAGTCACCACCCAAGTGAAGAAAATTCTTTGGAATTTGGGGTCATCTGCAAAAAATAGAGACTGCCTCAAACTTCCCCTTGGGCAACAAGATTGGAGATCTGCCTTCTGTGTGTGTGTGTGTGTGTGTGTGTGTGTGTGTGTGTGTGTGTGTGCGTGTGTGTGTGTATGTTTAAACAGAACTGGGGAAAGATAGCAGCAAGGGAGCATTATTAGAGCAATCTGTACTCCCACCATTTACCCAGATGGAAATTGCCAGGAGGGTATATCCACGTTTGAGCTGTCTCACTACGATGAACAAAAGGAACATTATAACAAGAGAATGTGGGATGTCCCCTAGAGTGGGAACCTGAGTAGAACACCTTAAAAATTCACATTTGCATCCCAGGAAAGAGCCAGCCTTGGAATGCAAGTGCCCTTTCTCACATTTCTCTTCCCAGGTGCCAGTGTAGGAGAAAAGTAAACCAGAAAGGAAAGGAACAGAATTAGGAAAAAAGAAACAAAGAACAGAACCAATACACAGACCTACACAGTACAAACTCAGACCATTAGGCAAATACAAGAAAAAAAGACCTGAAGTGTGCTGATTGGGCTTGTAACAGAACTTTCATTTTAGAGTGGAATCCATGTTTTAATACCTTGAAGTGGATGGAGAGTTACGGAAACAACCTAAAATATTTCTAAGAAGCCTGGAAAAAGTGATTGAACAGAATATGGTTGAAAGAGCAATTGGAGAAAAGAAAACTCTGTTATATTTTGGCTCTACCAGGGTGAAACTTTAGTAAACCAGCTACCTCTATAAATATTGAGCAGCATCTTGTACATATTTGACAATGGAACCACAAAGAGTTAACTGCAAATAACTTGCAGCCTTGTTAACCTTAAACTACCAACAAGCTTGGGTAAGAAAATGGACTACAAATCATCAGTTTAGTAGGGATCCCTGTTTTACCACATATTGCAAAAATGTCTTTAAATATCCCTTACTATTTGTCATCAAATACATATATACTCATATTTTTGATACACAAATCTATCTTTGTTTTACCATCTTTGTAAACATCAAAGTCACAGAGCCAGGAATATGTCACAACTTTCTTCCAACTTCAATTTTTGACTTGCTTTTACATCTTTTTCCTATGTAGTCTGACGGAGCTTAGAAAAAATAATTTAAATTCTTTTTGTCTATTCCCTTTTCAATCCTCTGAAAACTATGCAAAAGAACAGAAATATATCCACCAACTTCTGTATGAAGTCACCAAGAATACCGCAACCAGCAAAGAACTCCTCTCTAAAAACGTGGCTCATCCCCTCGAAAGGTAAAGGTATATCTCTTTCTTCCATTTGGGAGTTGGATTGAACTGTTTGTCTTCAGCATCAAAGGATTATAATCATCTACTTTTTTCACGCATAGATTTCAGCTGCAATATTGTTAAGCACGAAGTCTGTACATCACCATATAATCCCCTTATATTAAGATTTGCATTAATCTTTTTGAAAGCATTCAAAATGTTCAGTGTCCACTCTCATATTTTTCAGGAAGAAACATTTTTTAAAAGTTTGTGAAAAAAATAACGAAAACTATTCCTTCTCTCTCTTCTTCCCCTAGATGAATGAATTCTCCCCAAGCGTTCACATTTCCAACTTTGCTTTTGGTCTCCCTGACTACAGTTGACCCAGTTGGCCACTGTTTACTTGAATTCATTCTTCTCTTCTTAAAACATAATATTCCTATTTCCTCAGCTAAAGTTTCACTCTTTCCCATTTCCTCCCCTCTTTATGACCCATAGTGTGAAGCCAACCAAAGTTTTATTTGATATTTTGTTCCCCCCTTTCTATATACTCTCTATGGTTACCCATTCTCTCAGTTTCAGCTGTCACACTTAGGCTGGTGATTCCCTAAATTTATAATTTATGTCTTAGCTTTTAATTCTTTCCCATAATTTATTTCAGAGGGCATGTCCCTTAGGAGTCTGTCATCTGACATGTAAACAAGCCTTAAACCCAGCCAAACGTCCCTAGTCCTTAACTAGCACCCAAAATCTGCCTGTATTCAATCAGTTACATGCTGACCCTGCTCCACCTCATGTATTTGTACTTTCTTCATCTCCCTAAACTCCTCCCAAGGGCTGGCCAAACCCTAGCTATATCCTAAGTCTCTAGCTTCTGAGCCTGCCATTTTATCCTGCACACACCTGCCAGGATTATCTTTTAAACACTGCTTTCATCACATCAGTTTCCTAGACTCACATTCCCTTTACTGTGACATCTCATGTAAATTCTTGAGTCTGGTGTCTGAGGTCCTTCATCAATGGGGTCCACAACCTCCATATTTTCTAACCAAATATCTCATCACCCTTTAATATACCCTTGCTCTAGCTGAATGAAGGAAACCATCACCTCCCACATATATCTTAATCATCTCCTCTATGTGCTTTTATCACAACCTCAAATTCCTTCTTTGTCCTTTTTACTGGCCATGCTTATTACTGGCCTGCTTATTATTTCTATCTTTGGCTGTATAATGACTATAGGTTATGTCCATCCTGAGATGACAAAATGTCCTCTACTTCTTATGTAGTCTGTTTTTTTTAATTTGTCTTGAGGATCTCATGCTTAGTAGTCATCAAAGGTCATTTTTTTATACTGATGACAATCCAAGTCATTAATCAAATACATTGTCAACCTAAACATAAACAAAGTATGTATAACTTCAGATGAAAGGAGGAACTCATAAAAAGTCCCAATTTATCCCTAAATTCAACGAACATTTATTGGGCATTGCCACATGATGGGGAATATCACTATGCCTGCAACTAGGAATAAGAAGAGATATTGTAAAACCCTCCTAAAATCTAAAAATGCTCAATAGTTTGAAAGACTCATCTTAAAAATTATTTTCTCATTCACAGGCAGGCACCAGCCATTTTTCAAATCTTGATTAACGTTAGGTCATTTAAATATGAACCCTTTAAATCTAGGAGACAGTATATGGTAGTTGAAAGAATTCATTCATTTAACGAGCATTTTATTGAGTACCTTCTAGGTTCTGAGTACATGAATGAATGAGCTCCCTACTTAGGGAAATTGTTTTCATCTTACTGCACCTTCTGCCAAAGGAAATACATTTTACATTATTTTAAAATGAGGAAGCACATAAAGACATGGAATGCTTGCTTTCAGAAGAACTAAAAATTACTCTGCATGTTTAGTAATATTGTAATTAAAACTCTAAAAATCATCCTTATGCTAATATCAAGTATATAAATATCAATGGTTTCATCCTCAAAGGCAGACTGAAACCTTATCTACTCTCTAACCTTATATCATAAAGTTCTCTGGAAACACATCAGTGCAGTTTTCTTAACTTCTAAAAGAAAAGAAATACTTTAAACTGAAAGCAAGAATGCAGTATTTGTTTTATATAATTGAGCTATTTCCATAATTAAAATTCCAACTAATTTTTATGGGAAACATCCCTAAAGTTCTAAAAATGTTCATAAAAATAAAAATATTACAATTCCTCAGTGTATCTTGTTACAAATTAATTACTCTGGTAAGTTTCTGAACTCTTTTTTTTCATAGTTTATTGGTACAGATCTAGTGGTTTTCCTCATGTTGTTTTCTTTACCTGCTTTGCCATGTGGTCTCCCAGCATCAATAAACTGGAGAGCCAGGGACCTATGAATTTCACATCCACCCCGAAGTCTTCACTTAGCTCAATGTCAATGACCTGGATGGCTCCAGCTGCTGCCTTTTAGTGTAGTGCCTCCCACATAATATATATAATGAACAGGTCATTTTTCATCTCTCAATAGCTATGTATTTATTGGAAAAAGACTGATTAACAGCATTTGTGCAATGAAAACTATTAAAAGGTGGTCTCATGTTGGACAGTCTCTTCTGATTAATGACCTTGTCTCTGAAAGTGGTCTTTGTAAGGTAATCACTATAATATGATAAGCAAATATTACATAATAGACTATATGTTCTCGGGATGTATATGTTTAAAACCTCAATAAAGAGTTCAGCTGTATGAAATTGTGAACAATACACAGAATCAAGGGCTGAACCTAGTTTTGTTGCATTTGAAGCTTACACAATATTAGAAGACTCTACAAAGAAATACAAAAATACGGAGACAAAAATCAGTTACAAAAATGGATATTTGTTTAGAATGAGGAAATAAATCACAAAGTACTACAAATTCAGGTCCTTTTCTTTGGCAATCTCTTGGGCCATTAACTGGAAATACCAATAGAGAAATGTTTCCTAATGGTATCCTGGCCTCTGCAGTCCACATAAAACTCACAATTACTCCTCTAAATTCTCAGGACTCACCAGGTGAGGCACCTTGAAGCTTCAATTCATAAGCTACGTGGTAAATTTACTTCTGTATAGTTAAAACAAACAAATGAATAGAACCATAATACTCTTTAGATGGTTTCTGCTGTCCCAGTCTTGGCCTTCTTTTACTATGCTTCTGATCTTTTCTGGGTTTCCTTGATATGATTATCATCTTTGTCCAACAAGCCAATATTTAGTATGCAGAGCATGGTATCCAGGGCTATTGGATACATGTCTCTGTAAAGCTGCCACTGCTCTCTCTTCAGCCTCACTGTACAGAGGAGGTTGATGTAACACCCATAGAGCCCACATTTTGTACTCTCTCATTTTCTGCCTGTATCTTCCAAGCTAGCATCCAAATATATGAACTCTTTGTTTGACTTCTTTATTTCCTTGAGATTCTCTATGTCCATCATCAGCATCATATTCAGGGCTACATCCCCACAGGACTAAGAAAGCTGAAGGAGCTAAGTTCTTGGAAAGGTCCTCCTGCTCCCCGGAGCTCCTGTGGAGCCAGTCATGACCAGCTGGACATCTGTCGAAGCCAAAAAGAAGTATTTTCTAAAGATATTTCAGACTGTATAAGTAAAACAAAACAAAAATCCCTTATGTCTTCCGTCTAGAGAACTGTAGGGCACCTTGTCAGATAGCCCAGTTTAGCCCAAACCTACATTGCCTTTCTCTAGTACCAACAATTTTACAAAATGGGTTACATCAAAAGTTTATGTTCTGATTATAAATAACTAATTTAAGCTCATTATTCATTGGGAGATACTGGGTCTTCAGGGAGCGACAGATAGTAATGCTAGGCTGCTGTCAGGGATTATCTCATGGGGATAATGGAAATAGATTTTGATTTGATATTTATATCTGGCTTTAGGAACACTAGCCAGGACAGACCCTGAAATTAGGAGTTTGGCTCACATGTGTCTATTTCTGGCTCCTGAAAGAAAGTATTGCAATTCACTTTAGACAACTCTATTGAAGCTCATTAAGAAAGTTTGAGTAATTTGATATGGCTTATTTAAAAGGTTGTTGAGCTTATTTTTCTTTTAAGCAAAATTTCAGTTTGCCTCAATTTTAGCAATTTTAAAGCAAATTTAAAATAATCTCCAACTGTCTTTGTTAAATGACAAGCTATAAGGCTTGCAGCACTATTAAGAAAACAGTTTAATGAGTAAAAAAATTTTTTTATGGAAATATATTGTTAATAATTTAGCAGCTAAACTTTGGGAAAAACTAGCCTCTCAGGAGAATAACACTCACTTTGGCAGGTATATTCTTGTGTATTTCTCAATGAACAAGTCCTTCCAAGGATCTGTTAGACAGTAAGAACTAGTGCATAGTAGCTGACAGTATACTTATTATTATTATTTTCTTTGTACCATGTTTTTAATAAACCCCTCGAATATAAAACTGTGTCATTCTTAGTAGTGTATATGGGATACAAATAGCTAATATGTTCTAAACATATATTACTATTGGGTAACTTGGGATATTTTTTCCAAAGGGAATATTTGTATAGATATTGAAACATATTAATAAATCTTTCCTTTGAGAAAATATTGCAGTGGTTTTCCTTTTGGGAGCCAATCCTTAGATCAGCATCTTTCAAGTATGATCCAAGGACTGACATGAAGGATCTCTTCACCATTTTGAGGCCTATTGAGTTATTAAGGCTTATTAATATTTTCCACTCACAAATCAAGATTACCCTGTTAGAAACATTTTCTAAAGGCCTTAATGCAGCATTCTGTTAAGAAGACTGGCTTGACAATGTTGTAAAATTATTAGTGGCACATCCCTTCAGATAGTTGAGATTCTTGAAATTTTCTAGTAGAATAATATATTATTGTTAGTGTATCATCAGTATAGCCTTTAATTACAGCATTCACATGCTGCTATTCCTTTCTCTCTAATTCTGTATTATTAAATTTGTTTTTTGTTAAAAATGGCTTTTGCCTGATCATTATTAGTTTTTTGTTATAGATTTTTTATTTATAGTTTGTATTGATGCAGGTTTGTATAAACATATAAAAAGGAGCTCAATATTAATAGTAATCAGAAAAGTCCAAGTTAAAATCAAGATGGAATAATATCTATCCCATCAACTTGGCTAAAAACAAAAGGAGAAGCAATACCAACTGTTGGCTCAGATGTGGAAAAATGAAGTTTTATCCATTGCTGGTGGGACTATAAAATGTACAACCATTTTGGAGAACTTTCTGTCAGTGTTTACATAGCTAAGTGTGTGCCTACTCTATGACTTGGCAACTGACCTACTGCAGCAGAAATGAGCACTCATGTCTAGCAAAAGATACACACAGGGGTGGTCACGGAAGCTTTATTCACAATAGCTTAATATTGGCATCAATCAAATGCCCATTAAGAAGAGAATGGATAAACATTGTAGTGTATTTAAATAGGAATATATATTAGGATACAAAATATACAGTCAATACTACTTTGCTTTTACATAGAAGTGAATAAGTATAGGCTACTGTTGAACACGTTGACGAATCTCACAGATGTGTTGAGTAAAACTCAAACATAAAGTAATGTATACTGTGTAAATCCATTTATATGAAATTCAAAACAGGCAAAACTAATCTATTTTGATAGAGGACAAAATAGTGGTTACATTTGTGGAATTACTAACTGGTTGGGGGCCTTAGGAAACTGATACAGTGCTGAAAATGTTCTTTATCTTGATCTGGATAGTGGATACGTTGGGGTCTCTCTGTCTGTGTCTCTCTCTGTCTCTCTTTCTTTCTTTCTCTGTATGTGTGTGTGTGTCTGTCTGGGGGAGGTGGGGGGTGTCTGCACAAAAATTCATTGCACTAAAGATTTGTGCACTTTACTATAAATAAGTTATACTCCAATTTAAAAAAGAATAAATACTCAAATTTCCTTCTCAAATGTAAGATTAGTAAGATTAAAGACAACAAAGAGATCTGCAGAGATGTAAGCCTAACACTCTTTCCCCAAAACAGCATCTACTTACTCTCAAGAGGCCAATATTATATCTATTCAAAATGAGCACCAGTCCAATTTCATGAACTTCTCAAGTGGCACTTCCCCTTGGTGACACTTTCTGTTCTGCTGCTCTTCTAGGAAATATAGTATTCAGGATTATTCCTGCTTTTCAGGCCGATTTTTAAAGCACATGGTGATTTTTTTCTGAAAGAGCAAAGTGATAGGTCAAAATGGATCCTGGATGTTTCAGAGAATACCCTGAAAATAGGGATCAGATTATTAATATAACAAATTCCTGTCCAGTTGACAGGAAGAAACCAGTAGGGTTTTGTACATGTATCAAATACCAGTCATTGGGAGCCAGTCAATTACCTATTCTTGGACAATCTAGCCCCAAAAGATTGACAAATAGTGTTGTAATATTTTAGCACCACTTGTCAAGAATGGTCCAGTACCAGGCAGTGAAGTTTGCAGTACAGAGATCCTTAAGTAGAACTAAGGCAAAAGAAAAATCAGTGTGTTTATTTGGAAGATCTCTGAAAGTATTAACCTCCAAATATATACCATCTGTACCCTAGTTTACTTTTAAATTCTATTTTTGTGTAAGCTCAGTTTCAAAAGCCATTCATCTTCACCAGAGGATCTCCACTTGTTGCTTCTGCGGAAACGGAAACCTCCTTTTAAAATACAATGTGATATGGAGTTTTAGATTTCTTGTTGTCTGGCCTGTTGTAATACTGTTTTTTTAATCTATAAAGTTAGCTAATAGTTGAATATAGTTATCCAGGAAAACAAAGGATTCATTATAACGATTTAGTACCAAGGAAAGCCATGAGGCTCCCTACGGAAAGTGGGCTTTCTGTTACTTTAAACGTGTACTTTAGCTTACTAGTAAATTGTAGCCAGTTGTAGAACTCATACATTGGAATGACTAGACATGTGAATAGTAAAATTAGGGATAGGGGCCTTACTGGTAATGTAACGGTAACCTTAAGCAAAAAGCAAGCAAGGAAATAAAATATCTAGAAAAATAAAGAACAAAATAATGCATTATAAAGCATGATAATCCATAGTCTTTTCCCGTGGATCCTCAGTAGAAGCTGGCTATATCTTATCTAATCTTTTGTCATCTTTAGTCCAAAGATTTTAATGGAAGTTATCTCTTCTGAAAATTGACTGTTTCTGGAGGGATCTCAAGAATTCTCAGCTGGAGATCTGTGGTAAGGGCCATCTTCCAGTGATCCAGGCAAGGTTTTTGAGAGTCATACATACAGGGACTAACTTCATGGAGTTATACGACTCTCCTAGTAGTGAACAGTATCCAATTGGGTTATTTCTAAAAGTTTTTAGGTCATACAAGGATTGCTTGGAAGAATGTTGAGAAAAGCCTGGTTAAACTTGTTGATAAGAAGACTGGATGTGTTCCATGAATTACCTGCAATATTTAGCCATATCTGCTTTTAATAGGTGGAGTCCAGAACTGCAGATGATATTTCATGAAACAGGGATCAACCTGTTACTAACTCATAGGAGAGGAGTCAATGAATCTTAGAAGGATTTGATCTCAATGACAATACCTTAGGCCTTAGAAGTTTGAGAGCTTCTGAGAGTTTTGCTAATTTGAGTTTTAGAGTTCTGTTCATTCTTTCTTCCTTTCATGGAGATTGGAACTTTGTTGACAGCAAAGTTTTTGAGTAAGTGGCAGGGATTTGCAAAGCTTTTAAAAGATAGTCTCAGTAAAATGGGTACTTTTGTTACTGAAGTGATAGATTGGATTTCCCAGGAGTTCCCCAGGTTGGGTACACAAAATTAAGTCATTTTAAAAACACGATTAGAGCCTAGCTCTTCAGTAAGAAAATGTTTCAGAAATCCTGAGAACTATCTGAATGACCCAGACATATTAAATGATCAAGTAGGGTAGTTTTATAAAATCCATTTAGAGATAAACAAAGGGATCATGTAGTTTCAGTCTTTGTCCATGTCCCAACCTTTATATTTTTATTAACATTATTCTAGTGACAGATAAAACCTGAACCAAACATATCCTCAGCAATTTCGTAAACTTGCCCCATTAATGTTGATTAAGTACAGTGGCTAATTTATCTTTGCTGTTGTAGATAATTTCCTGTAAAATTTTTCCAAGTTTCCACTTTAAGTCCTCTGGTGCTATGAGGCAGATACCCTAAGATTATCAAGATATCCTCAGAAAATTTATAGCCATATATCTCCCAGTACTTCTAACTGTGCAGCCAATATTTGACTTTGGGCCTCTCCAAACATTTAATCTCAGGAGGGTTAGGGAGCTTCAGAATCCTGCTTGTCTGACATAGTGATCACTCAGGGCATTCCCTTAAGCCTCCATGTTACCCAATTTTGAATGAGTTTCTACTTTTAATATATTAGTTTGGTGCAAAAGTAGTTGCGGTTTTTGACATTGAAAGTAATGGTAGATTCAGTGGGTAGGCTTTTGCCACTGTGTCAGGAAAGAGACTATTGGTTTGATATTTTCTGTGAAGTTGAATCAGAACACCAGGGGCTTGTCTATATCTTTCATGAATAAATAAGTATAAAGTTTTATGAAAATTAGATATTCCAGGGTGGGAGGCCATTAAGGAGTTAATCCTCAAAAAGTCTGCTCATGTTTAGATCCAGTTACTTAGGACTTAGTTAAATCATATAGAAGCTTGGCAATTTCAGAAAAGTTGAAAACACATTGCTAGGAGTAGCAAATTCAGGAATCGTTTTACTTGTTTCTTAACTACTGACCCGGGAAACTTTTGAACTGCTTGTGGTCTATCATGAATAACGAATTTATCTCGTTGAGGTAAGTCATGTCCGAGGACTGGACATTATTTCTACAAAGGTAAAACTCTTCTTTGGAAACCTGTGCCCTTCTTAAGCTAAAACAGTAAGTAGATAGATGAAATCCATCTTAGAGCTCACCTCATCTTTATAATATAACAAAAATCATCCACATATAAGGTAGGAGTAGACTCATAGAAAAAAATTAATGTCATTCATATTCTGGCTGAGGCCTTGCAAAAGTTGGAAAGTGCCTCCTTCAACTTCTTGGGAATAACAATCTAGCTGTTGTGCTAATTTTCTTAGGAAAAAAGCAAACAAGTGTTGACTGTGTTTATCTTAAGAAAGAAAGTGAAACACAGGGCTACAATTATAAAATATGTAGGCTCAGGAGGCACCAAAGACAAAATAGCATTTGGGGTTGGTACAACAGGAAAGTGGAGAATCTCTATTCTATTTATGAACCTGAGGTCTTCAATGACCTATATGCCCCCCTGACAAAGATTTTTTTACTGAAAGGATGTGGGTGTTGTAAGAACTGATAGAGAGTATGATGAGTCCTTTCTCTCTCTCTCTCTCTCTCTTTTTTGATCTCCTCAATATATTCCATTTGAGCTTGATTAGAAAGAAGTGTACCCATGTCCAAATTGGCTATAACTCTTTTACTAACAGAGGAAATAGTCAAGTCATCAGGGATTTCTGGGAAGAAACCTTCAGAAGAACCTTTAATCTTGCAGTTTCATTTGTACGTTAAATTCATCCCTATCAAATCAGTAGGGGTTTTGTCATGACAGAGGAAAGCATGTTCCTTGGTTAAAGGTCCAAGAGGGACAGCCATGAGCTGGGACATGGTAAACATCTGAAGGTTATTAAAGATATCTACCCATCAGGTAGTTTGTTGACTCTGACAGAAGGGCTGTATACCAGTAGTAGGATTTAGGGTTGATACTTTAGTACCCTGTATACACTTTCTATTGCTACTATAACAAAGCACCACAAACTTAAAGGCTTAAAACAGCATCCATTTATTATCTCACAGTTTTGTTAGAAGTCCAGGCCAAGTGCAACCCAGCTGCTTATGTGTTCTCAATTTCATAAGGTTAAAATCAACCAGTTGTCAGGGCTACGTTCTTTTCTGGAAGCTCTGAGAGTAAATCTGCTTCCAAGCTCATGTGGGTTGTTTTTAGAATTCAGTTCTGTGTGGTTGTGGGAGTGTGGCTCCAATTTTCTTGCTGGCTGTGAGCTTTAGGTCATTCTCAAGCTTCCAGAAGCCACCAGTACTTCTTGGCTTGCGACCTCCTTCCTCTATCATCAGAGCCAGTAAGGAAGGCTGAATCTTCAACCTTTGAATTTCTTTGAACTTCTTTTCTGTGTTATCTCTCCTCTGTTTCCAGCCAGAGAAAGTTCTGTCTATAAAGTTTATGGGATTATGTCAAACTCACCCAGATAATCCAGGATAATCTCTACATCTCAAGGTCTTTACCCTATAATCTGTGAAGTCCCTCTTTTCCATGTAAGATAACATATTTGCAAGTTCCAGGGATCAAGGTGTGGACATCTTTAGGGGAGTATTATTCCACTTACCATATGCCCATATTAATAAAAAAATTTAAGCCTCTCTTATAATGTGTAAAGAAATTTTCTTCTTATAAGAGTAAGAGTATAGCTACTCGGGAGGCTGAAATGGAAGAATCACTTGAGCCCAGGAGTTGGAGGCTGCAGTGAATTATGATTGCACCACTGCACTCCAGCCTGGGATACAGAGTAAGACACTGTCTCTAACAAAATAAAAGTAAATAAATACAATTTAATTTAAAAATAATTTTTCAAAAAGACTGAAGGTACCTACCTGTTTTACTTTATCTTTTTAAATATCTTTGTCATGAAACTCCCTCCTGCAGGGTTTAATGACTGAGATAGGAACGTCTAGTTCTTCATTTGTAATGCCATAAATTTATTTTGATCCTTATTTTATTTATGTTCAAAGATTTTTTTCAAAATATTCAGATACTGGATATATGACAGTGGGACGATTTTCGACTCCAGTTTTTGCTCATATATCAAATCCCTTATTTCATTCTTTTTTTTTATTATTATACTTGTAGTCTTAGGGTACATGTGCACAACGTGCAGGTTAGTTACATATGTATACATGTGCCATGTTGGTGTGCTGCACTCATGAACTCGGTCATTTACATTAGGTATATCTCCTAATGCTATCCCTCCCCACTCCCCCCACCCCACAATAGGCCCCAGTGTGTGATGTTCCCCTTCCTGTGTCCATGTGTTCTCATTGTTCAATTCCCACCTATGAGTGAGAACATGCGGTGTTTGGTTTCTTGTCCTTTCGATAGTTTGCTGAGAATGATGGTTTCCAGCTTCATCCATGTCCCTACAAAGGACATGAACTCATCATTTTTTATGGCTGCATAGTATTCCATGGTGTATATATGCCACATTTTCTTAATCCAGTCTATCATTTTTGGACAGGCCATTTATAAAAAGTGGAGAGAGACATCAAATTACACCTGTTTGAAGAATTACTCTTGAATGCTAAGAGTGCTTAAGAGTCCATCTCTTAAAGTTTCTGAACTCATCCTTCCTTTGCTTGCAGAACTCGGTTAGAGTCTCTTCATTTTCATTGGCAAGGTTTTAGAGATAACCTCCAAAGACTTTGTCTAACATCTGTAAATCCCTGCAAATCCCCTTGGTTTCCTATAAAATTTGAGGTGTTTTAAGATACCCTCAGGATTTTCCCATTCTGCCTTTTCCATCCAATCGTTTGCATCTAATGCTCTCACTATCATATGATCTAATCAATATAAATTTGGGACCCCTGAATTACACATTCCTACAACAATTCTAAATTTCTCTGCAAATTTTTTCAATCCTATATGGATTTTGGAAAGTCTTTGACTATGACTGTCAATTCAAAGGGAGACCACATTTTAAAATCAGCCTCAAGGGATTTTCCTATTCTGAGATCAGTTTAATTTTAAGAAGCAACTGAATTTGGGCAAGATGATTCCTGGCTGACAGGAAGGGAAAGAGAACAGATTGGAGGGAGAAATAGAGTAAGAGAGAAATTGAGAAACATAAGATGGAAGAAGAGAAGTGGTTGGATCAAGACTTTGAGTTGTGACTTGTGATTTAGAGGGAAATACGTGAGAGATAATTTAAAGTTGTTTACAGTTCTCTTTTACCTTGGCCAATTAATCACTTATGAAAGCAATTTGGGAATCTGAATTTCTTCTGGATGAATTTTTATACCAATCAAAAATGCACATAATTGGGTATTTGGGATTTCTTCCTTTTTTGTTCTAAGGAACAAAATGAACAACTTTGATCATATCAAAATTTCACTTTTCCTATCTGTTGGCCATTTGTCTGTCTTCTTTGGAAAAATGTGTATTCCAGTCCTTTGCGTATTTTTTAATATGGTTATTTACTTCTTTGCTATTGAGTTATAGGAGTTGTAGGAGTCCATTTTATAATTTGAATATTAGCCCCTTATCAGATATATAGTTTGCAAATATTTTTTCCTATTCTGTAACTTGCCTTTTCACTGTTTTGATTGTTTCCTTGCTGTGCATGTTTTTAGTTTGATGTAGTCACACTTTATTTTTGCTTTTGGTGTCTGTGCTTTTGGTGTCTTGTCTAAGAAATCCTTGCCATGAATACTGTCATGATTTTTCCCTATGTTTTCTTCTAGGAGTTTTATAGTTTCAGTTTTCATTGACATCTTTAATCCATTTTGAGTTTAGTTTTATTTATGATAAGATTTCAATTTCACTCTTTTGCATGTGTATGTCTAGTTTTCTCATACCATTTGTTAAAGAGACTATTCTTTCTCCATTGTGTATTCTTGGCACTCTTGTTGAATATCAGTTGACCGTATATGCGTGAATTTATTTCTGTGCTCTATTCTGTCCCATTGGTCTATATGTCTGTTAATAATACTGTGTTATATACACTTAAAAATGTAAGACTTCATGTTAAGGGCTCTTACAACAATAAAAGTGCCAAATTCACATCATTGTTGTAGAATTTAAAATGCAGTATAATTACATTTCTTAGCATTTAATATCTGCAATAAAAATTATCTTCGATTTCTTTAAAAAAATTCATGAAGTGACTTCTGTAATTCTAAGTTATCCTTGGTGAAATCAGTGCCATTTATGAAGGAAATTACCTAAATTTGAGTGATAACATAGATAAATGCAAGAAGCAGGAATCTGGCCAAGAGGGGAGTAAAGAGAGGCTTAGACAGAAGTGAACTCATAAGAGTGTGGTAATAGATGGTTGTAAATATTGCTTGTATACCTTGTGTCTTGGGGCCCCAGCCTGAGGACCAGAGAATCTCCAATTACAAACATGACTGATATAAATTTTACAGAAGGTAGAAAGATTTAAAAGAGATGTCTTCTGGAACCAGACAAAACAAGACTAAGGAAATTTCCCATGAGGTTTTACTAAGTGACCTATCACCTAAAGCAAATTTCATCCAAGGGAAGCCAGCATGAATATAAACCCTTTAAAGTTCTCAGTCTGCAGTGCTGCTTCAGGAACAGATGTATGGGATCTACACCTGTCCTCTTCCCCATGCACTTGACATTTACAGACACATACCAAAAATGGTAAGCACAGAGGCAAATTTTGTCTTACTAGTCATAGGGCAGATTTCCAGCAAGAATAGAAAGTTTTCAAATATGGTTAGATAATGAAAGTGTTACTTTAAAAGACTTATCACTCTTAGCCAGGCACAGTGGCTCACGCCTGTAATCCCAGCACTTTGGGAGGCCAAGGCGGGCGGATCACGAGGTCAGGAGATCAAGACCATCCTGGCCAACACGGTGAAACCCTGTCTCTACTAAAAATTCAAAAAAATTAGCCAGGCATGGTGGCGGGCACCTGTAGTCCCAGCTACTCAGGAGGCTGAGGCAGGAGAATGACGTGAACCCAGGAGGCGAAGCTGGCAGTGAGCCGAGATTGCACCACTGCACTCCAGCCTGGGTGGCAGAGCGAGACTCCATCTCAAAAAAAAAAAAAAAAAAAAAAGACTGTTCATTCTTAGAAAATGAAATAAAGTAAAAAATTCTGAGAGCCAAAGGAAACGAAAAAAAAAAAAAAATACAGGGCCCCAGTGCAAGATGAAATCTCAAGAGGCCTCAGAGGAATGAAGTATTTTCAGACTGAGGGTCTTGGGCTGCAGTAATGTGAGGTCTTGATAAGATCTCAGTGGGCCTCCAAGATTGTTAAACGCTAGTTCACCATAAATATCACCAAAAGAACCCGATGATGAGGTAAAGCTTAGTTTATTCCTCACAAAGTTAAAAAGAAAAAAAGAACACTACCTGGTAGTGTCTGTTAATCTTTTAGTGTTCCAGCAAAGTTGGAAGGTTTATGAGATCTTGAGACTGGTTTAAGATGGTCTTAATGTAAAGTATTTGATTGAAATTGTGTATGTCTCATGATCTGAAGATTAGAACTGGTGAACACAGCAAGATATTTTCTTTTTAAAAAAATTTTATTTTATTTTACTTTAAGTTCTGGGATACATGTGCAGAACGGGCAGGTTTGTTACATAGGTATACATGTGCCATGGTGGTTTGCTGCACCTATCAACCCATCATCTAGGTTTTAAGACCCGCATCCATTAGGTATTTGTCCTAATGTTCTCCCTCCCCTTACCCCCAACCCCCGACAGGACCCAGTGTGTGATGTTCCCCTCCCTGTGTCAATGTGTTCTCATTGTTCAACTCCCACTTATGAGTGAGAACATGCAGTGTTTGGTTTTCTGTTCCTGTGTTAGTTTGTGACCATAAAAAAGAATGAGTTCATGTGCTTTGCAGGGACATGGATGAACCAAGATATTTTCTAGAAGAGGGTTTCAAAAAGGCTTGAAGAATTAAGCCTAATGTTCATTTAAAAAAAAATTGCCAGGAAGTTCCTGGAGCAAATGATAAAGTTATTTACAAACACTATCTTCCTGGGCAAGAGTTTTCTAAAATAATAGAGTTATATTAATAAAACTGGTGAAATAATAAAATTATGTTAGTGAAGACAGTGAATAATAAAGCTACATTAAACGTAGATGGTAAGTAATGTGAAAGTAGAAGCTTTTAGTTCTCACTTAGACCTGCTTCTGCAGATGAAATTGTTTTCTAGATTCCCTAAGAGCTTTTAAGAGTATTTTCCCCATCATCCTGAAGCAGCTGGACTGATAGAATGGTGGAATGGTGCCCAGACCCTTCAAGAATGAAGGTTTGAGTCACTCCACCGGGAAAAAAAACCACGACCTGCTGAGGTGTTTGCTGAAGGCAAAGGGAATACAGAATGGGTAGTAGAAAAAGGTGGTCATTAATACCAAGTATGACCACGTGACCAGCTGCAGACGAGGACTGTAATTGTCATGAGTATTTCCTCCTCCTTTTGTTAAAAACATGTTTATGCATATATGCACTTGTACTAAGAAAATATCTTCATTTTTATTTCCTTTTTCCTTTATCATGTGGCATAAAATTTATTGACTTCATATTATGTAATAGCATTTGTGTTGGGGATTGGTGCATTTCTGGTTGTACAAAGGATAGTTGTATTACGTTAGGCATAATTATGACCTTATTATTGTCTTTATCTGAAGATTATGATCTCAGGAGATGTGTATGGGTTCAAGCTAACAAGGGGTGGACTTGTGACGGTTAATACTGAGTGTCAACTTGATTGGATTGAAGGATACAAAGTATTGTTCCTGGGTTTGTCTGCGAGAGTGTTGCCAAAGGAGATTAACATTTGAGTCAGTGGGCTTGGAAAGGCAGACCCACCCTTAATCTGAGTGGGCACCATCTAATCAGCTGCCAGAACAGCCAGAATATAAAGCAGGCAGAAAAACAAGAAAGGGCTAGACTGGCTTAGCCTCCCAGCCTGCAACTTTCTCCCATGCTGGATGCTTCCTGCCCTGGAACATTGGACTCCAAGTTCTTCAGCTTTAGGACTTGGACTGGCTTCCTTGATCTTCAGCTTACAGATAGCCTATTGTGAGACCTTGTGATCATGTGAGTTAATACTACTTAATAAACCCCCATATATATATATATATATATATATATATATACACACACACACACACACACACACACATATATACATATACACATATACATATATACACATATACATATATATACACATATACATATATATACACATATACATATATATACACACACATATACATATATATATATATATATATATATATATATATATCTCCATCCTATTAGTTCTGCCCCACTAGGGAACCATGACATGACTAACATAGAGTGTGAAGGCATTTGTTTATCAGTAACTAATGGATGTTCACAGCAACCCACAAAGGTGTTCATCTCTTATCTAAAACTCTACAATCACCTCTGAACTTGGCTCCCTCCTTCCATTCTTGTTCTTCTCCAGTATACTCTCCATATAGCAGCCAGAGTGAGATTCTGGAAATGCAAATCAAAACATTTCAATGACTTCCCATCTCTGTTAATTGAAAAAGCAAATCCTTACCCAGGCCTACAAGGCCAGCTGGCATCATCCTGAGAACCAGGCTTGGACTACATGCTTTAGAGGGCCCTGTGTTAGCTTCTGTCCAACTATACTAGCAGTCTCTTACCCTCACCCAGTTCACCACCAGATGGGAAGTCTACAGGTCTAGGGAATATATACAGCTAGAGTCAAAGCCCACTTATAGAACATGCCTTTGTTCTCCAAGGACTCAGAATTCTCTGTCCAGCTGCTTACAAGCCTACTTTGAGGGCTGCAGTCTCTTCTTCCATTTGATTCCTCTCTCTAGGGGAGGGCTTCACTTCAGATGTACACACCCCAGAGCCAAGTAGGAATGAGAATGGAGCTAGGATGTAGTGGTCTGGCATGTCCATACAAACATATAATCACTCAAATTATAGGGTGGAGCTGGAGGTAGAAAGAGAAAGGGAAAGACCAAAGACCAAGGGCCAACTGAGAAGCAAGAAGCTTAGATTATAATTGTTTTTTTTTTTAAAAATTGTATTATAACTTTTGTGAGTATTAGAACCATTTTATCACAGCTTCCCTCTCACTGCCGTGTTCCACAATTCCCTCTTTCATAAGAAAAACACCCTTAAACCAAGCCCCAGCTTGCTTCAAGAGTGCAGAAAGATCCTTTATGTGCTGTAGTATATCAGGTACTGAGGTATGTGCCTTTAGGATTTATTTCCTAACTCCAGATAAGTTTAGACTTGTACCAAGGATTCCAAAGGAGAAATCACCCTGGTTTTTGTGCAACAATCAGCACACTGATTGTATCTCATCTGAACTGTGTCTCATCAGTCACTGAAAAACAGAAAGAGTTGCTCAGGAATTCCAGACAAATAATTACAAGGACATATCCTTGCCCCTCATGAATTTCTATCCCAAAGTACAGTCATCGCAAATGTGAGATATTTGCAACAGCAAAGTATCAGCCTAATGCCTGTGAAGAAGACAGACACTCCTGGGCTAGGCAAGTTTCAGGATGAATCTAATGCAGTAATCTTTCAAAATATCAGTAATTTCTGCCACACCCAGTCAGTTCTAAATGTACAGCAGTCCCTTTTATAAAAGGAATAAATCATCTACATGACTAGAAATTAGTTCTTTCTCTCCTCTAGTCAGTAAGTTCCAAGAGAGCAGGGACTAGTTCTGTCTTATTTATACTGTACCTGGCACACAGTAGGCACTCAACAAATATTTCTTGTTTGAAGTAATAAAAAAGAGAAACAGAAGTATTTGCTAGCAGATCTTATATAACAACAAAGAATACATCACACTTAACATATGGCAAAAATATATTATCTGGCATCTCTAATTGGTAGCCGTGAATCAAGAAGGAGCAGCATGGTAACTGCTAGGTTTCCATGTACTTAAGCAGCTCAGTTTTCTAATTTAAATTCCGCTATTGCTCTTCCTCTATGCTGCAAAGCCTCTGAAATGAGAATCATAAAACCTACATATCCATAAACCGACCGAGATCTCCTAAGGCTTTACCTGTAAAAAGATAGTCCACATTTGGGATCAGGGCCAGCAGGAAAGGTACAGTGCTCTCTCATTTTACATTGTAATTGATTTCTGACTAGCTAGTCTCAGCATCTAACTATAAATATTTTATATATCCATATTGAAACAAATATGTCTGGAGTTTCTCTAGCAAACATCATCACAGTCCATGATAGCCTGAGCTTTTGATGTCTTCAGGTGCCAGTCCCCCATTGGCTTTGGTCAGCATTTCCCTAAAGTGTGATCCTTGGGACGCTAGTCCAAGCAGATGCTCCTTTGGCAGTAGGGGAATTAGACGGAATCGTTTTAGAAAATGGCTATGAACGTTAGTATATTTCGGGTTCTGGAAGTTCCTGCAGTTAAAATAAGTTTCATTTTGTTATGACTAGCATTTCCTACCCAAATGTGGAAATTTTCTTTTAAATCAAAGTATGAATGAACCTATCTTGGAATACTCTTAAAAAAACACTAGCACAGATTGTGCTATACTAGTCCATGTCTCCAAACTTCATTCTGTTACACTTCATGACAAATAGGTCATGTTTTTGGTGTTTTTTAAAGTGCTTGCATCAGGAATTTGGAACTATTTTGTTTATTCTTGATGTTTTTGATATATCCCCGAAGTCTTAAAACATCTCCCTATGGGCCAAATGGGTATCTTACAATGCCCTAACTATATCATTAAACAAATGCCAAATACCTGGACTCACACTGTGAGATTATAGTTTAATGTAATCCCAAACACAGTAAAACACCATCAAACGAAGGACAAGAATTCCTGGGAATTTCCAGGGAAACCCAGGGAAATGCAAATGAGCTTTGCCTCCTCCTCAAGACAAATAACATGAATATTCTATCAAAATGTGTTTATAGGTAAAGGAAAATGTAGAGAAAACCTTGGGCTGTACATGTGAATACAACCAATGAGCTGCCTTTATTAATTGCCTACCAGTGAGTCTCTATATTTCAGTTTCCTCAGGAAAATCACTATATAAACCAGTTTATGATTTTCTTTCTCAGATCTTCATTGCAGCTGGTGATTGCTGAAAATGATGATCTCAGAGTCGCCTGTTCCTGCCAGAGAGCCTGCACACAGAGAGATGCCTTTGTGAAGCCAGCCATAGAAACCTGCATAAAATTGGCCTTCTTTCCTTAATAGAACCACATGAACAAAGATGAGTTTGTTGCTGACTCAGAGCTGAAAGCTTTGTTTTGTAAAGCTCTCTGAATGTATTGCACTCTGGCAAAGGAGAAGGGCTCCTTCTTCTAAAAAAAAAAAATAGAGGAAGAACAGTAAGCGGAAATCAGACAACAAATCAAAGCGCACACCCTTCGGGTAGATATTTGTGACTAAAGTGGCCCGAAACATTTTTTTTTTTTTTTTTTTTTTTTTGGTGAATACTGGTCACATTTCACAAGATGAATAAAATGAAAGGAAAGGGAACTCTAATTAATGGGGTGCCTTTTGATTTGCAGAGCAAAACTGCCACAGCAGATGTACCAGCAAAGAGGATTAGATTGTCCCTTCTATGAGGCACTGAAATTTTCTTTTTTCCCCTGTAGTAACCCCATTGAAGAGAGGCTGTCTTCAGTGTCTAAGATTCAGCACTGCAAAGAAACTGTTGTGCTTAAGCACAATGGGCCGCTCTCACAAGGCCAGACAGAATATGTGAGGAGAGAACTAATATCCCATTAAATCTGGGCAAGACAGTTTTAATTTTACTATTTTTAAAAGGCTAAATTAAAAGAGAAATTTGTGATGCATTCAAAGTTGATAAAATATGCATTAAAGTGAACCTTAAAACATTCATGGATAACATTCATCATTTCGAAAACTGTAATTGAATCTAGAAGGAATGTGACGCTAATTTCCCTTTGTTTTAATTTAATCAGTCCAGGGTGTTTTTGGTTTGTGTGTGTGTGTGTGTGTGTTTATTTGTTTTTGATTGTTGTTGAGATCCTCATCTAAAAAGGTAGCCCCACTTCCTTTCAAAAGAAATAATTACCAGAATGTTAACTTTAATTGCCATCAGAGAACCCAAAATGATCAGTTAATCATCCAGATAGTAAATGTTTTGCTTAAGTGAGTCTTGAATGAGGAGAGAAATAATGTATGGCTGTTGTTGTTATCTTTAATATGATTGTGGGACAAAAAAGAGAATTGAAGAAGTGCATTTGTTGTTAATGTTTAATTTCAGGTCATTTTGTATTTCTGCACTTTTGGGAAAAAAGCAATAAGGGCAGAATGCTACTCAGCTGGGGTCCAATTCTACTGAAAATAGCTGTGGTTCTCTGTATAACTTAGGTTGTGGAAAACCATGAATGCTGGCACCACCACAGGCTCACTTATTCAAGGGAAGAGTGAGGTCAACAGACTGCGGAAGTGAAAGAAATAATCCTCTTTCTCTCCTCATCCTTCCCACTACAGCTCCTTAGTGATGAGTTGCAAATCTGCCCCAGGGCAGGGTAAAGTATTTATGCAAATGATTTTCCTCTGCACTCAGCTAGCTCTGGGGTCAGTCTATCTCTTTTGCTGCTGTGAGGTTTTGTCTTCTGACAACAAATAAAGATGCAGTTCTCTCTCTCTCTCTCTCTCACACACACACACACACACACGCACACACACAAATGTGCCTGGATTCCCCCCCCTCTTTATAATAGTGAAACTGCATTTGTTAGCAGTTATCACTCTGTAAGACAAAGTAATGCTCATATGAAAATTGTCTTTCACGTTATGATGGTCTAAGTGATTTTTCAAGTAACATCTACTTCGAAGGGTATACATACAGGCTGACTGAATGTCTAACTAAGGATCAGCCTACCTGCTTCCCCAACTCTCCTTAGCTTTTAAGAAATAGGCCAGGCTTCTCATTCTGATAGATGGAGAAAGTTCTCAGAGTCCAATTGTTGCGTTCTGGATAAGCGTGTGGTACTTTGTTGGCTTTCTCTTTTCCTCAACTAAAGCAGCACTGTCATCTGGATAGAGCACTGCCACTCTAGGCCCAGTCTAATGGCCATTAAACACATTTACGTATAGAGCATATATTCATAGGGGCCTAGTAAACATAATAGACCAGGTAAAGGTACTCTCCAGGTAAAGGTACTCTAGGGGATCTTTGAGAAACATTGTCAACGCTGACTAATTTTAAGATGAAATTTAGACTCCTGGGCACTGGCCCAGACACTGATTAATGTGCATTTTTACATACCAGCTTAATAAAATTCCAATGGCCTGTAAAGTATCATTGCTCCCTTTATTTTTACAGAGTGACACAGAAACATGGTAGATGAAGAAAGGATTCTGATGTCAAGATATATGTGGATGACTGGGGCGGTGCCTCACACCTGTAATCCCAGCACTTTGGGAAGCTAAGGCAGGCAGATAACATGGTCAAGAGATCAAGACTGTCCTGACCAACATGGTGAAACCCCGTCTGTACTAAAAATACAAAAATTCACTAGGCGTGGTGGTGCATGCCGGTAGTCCCAGCTACTCAGGAGGCCGAGGCAGGGGAATCGCTTGAACCCAGGAGGCAGAGGTTGCAGTGAGCCAAGATCACGGCACTGCACTCCAGCCTGGCGACAGAGCGAGACTCCATCTCAAAAAAAAAGAAAAGAAAAAAGAAATATGTGGAAGAAAATTAGATAAACTGAGTGATATTCCTGTTAGTTTCATCATCAGTAGAGCTATAAGACAGCTACGAATCTTTCTTTACTTAACTACTTGATGTACATAATAATATTCTCCTATTGACTATGCCAAATTCTCTCCATTTCCATGCTAAACCATCCCAATTCCTCTGATGTTTACTCTAAGTTCATATTTTCCAGCCCTCTTTATGTCTTTTTGCCTGAACACTAGACCCCCTCCAAATTTACCCCCAAATCTTGCCATCATTTCTAGGAGCATGTTTCATAAATGCAACTGTTTCTCTTCCAGGATACCAAAACCTCTTATTCATACCTTTCTTTCTTCAGCTGAACAAATTAGTTCTTACTGTATAACTACTGACTCCACTGTAGAAGACACTGTTGGGAGAAACAGAGTCCAGAAAATAAAGATCCCATGTCCAGGAAGCTTACAGTCCACTTGCAGATACAAATATATCCCAAGACAGAATGAAATAACCTTCAAGAAATATGTTATTGCAGGACATAGAATGACATCTATCTCATTGTCAATAACATAGTATTGTTATCGGACTAAGGGACAATGAGATAGAGGTCAAGGATCACTGTTTGTGGAGAGGTGGCATTTGAGCTCCTATTGAAAAAGGAGTAAGACTTTAGTCAGGTAAGGAGTGATCCCTAAGGGAAGGCATGGTGGTGAAAATCAGCCTTCTAACATTACAAGGTGCTATGCAACAGCTTTTTTGCAATCACAATTTTTCAGCAAGATGACTGGTGGAAGCTTACGTTTATGCTTGCCTTGCCCCAGGTCAATGGGCCTTGCATTTTCTCAGTCCACTAGTGGTGAGGTCAGTGAATTCTGCCTCAATTCCATAGGCTAGAAATATGTCTATATGGATTTTTTTTTTACCTCTCTTTTTTCCCATGTATGGAAGTAGGTATGGTAGATGAATCTGTTCAGAAATTTGGACATAGTGACATAAAGATAAATTGAATATTCAGAAAGTTTAGATGATCCAGCATGAATAGGTTAGAGTTGTTGAAAAATTGAACATGGTGATTAAAATCATACCTATCTGTTCAGTTTCTCTCAGGCATCTATCCTTTGGCCACATTTCCCAAGGGTGTTGGGAAAGTGTGCCTGAAGCATATCTTCCATGAATCATCCCTTTCTGATTTCCATATCTTGTTTCCTGTTCCTCAAAAGCCCTTCTACCTTCCCCAACACCTCAACAGCTGCTTTTTTCCTTTAAGTTATTTATCTCCCTTATGGGTACAACTGAAAATGACATGCTGTCTGTGTTGTCTATTCCAAACTACTGGATTTATAAGTGTCTTTGCAAATTAGTTCTCCACGGTTCTTTTAAGCTCTCATTCTACTTTAACAATACCGTCCTTATTGGGAAGCATGCATAGTATCTTATAGGTATGGTTTATGGAAGAAATGGAACTAAGAACTCCAATCAGTAGATCCATGCACAGGGAACTATGTAGAACATAAAAAATTGACGAACAAATGTGTATTTGTTTGGGTTAAGTTAAAGATATATATATATATACACACACACATATGCACACACACATACATCACTCATATGATATTCTACTTAAATGAACTTTTTGATAGCCACTCTTCTATCAGTCCTAACTTAATGGACAGATGGGTTTCTGTTGTATCTCCATTATGGTATTTTTTTTTATCATAAGCAGCCATTATTTATGTGTGTGACTCCCTGTGTGAGGGGGAGACTATGTCTTACTCGTGTTTAGTGCCTTCAATGCCCAGTAGATTACCTGAAACATTTTGTTTCATAAGTGTTTTTTTAATAAAAGGTCATATATTACCTCAGTTGATTTTCATAACAATTGATGAAGTAGATAATGTTGACATTATGCTCATTTCATAGATGAGAAAACCAAGACTCACAGAGGTTGAGTGATTTGTCCAGGGGCAAGGGCTTTAGATGAAAAGAACCTATCTTCCCAACTCATCTAAAGAGCTTATGGCAGCAGTAAGTGATGAAGCAAGTTTGATTTGGTGATTTTCCAGAGGAAGCTGGATCTTATCTCTCATAGGAAATGAGATCTCATTCAGTGGCCTATATAGAATTATTTTTCCTTTTCTAATTACCCAGGGTAATTAGAGCAGACAGAATAAACTACTCCTGCCTCCAAAAGCTTACCTGGTATTTTTTGTGTTCTCTTCTCCATAACTATCATTGATCTGATATTAATCATGTATATTCTCATGTGAATGGCATTAGAATAAGAAATGATAGGAAAAAAACCACCTCAGACTTCTTTTCAGGAGCTCCTGGGACTGCAGAGGCATATGGGACAGCAATGTCTGGTTCTCATTGCAGTTGCATAGAATTTAAGAAGCACTGTCATAAAGAGCTTTTCCAGCTTGACTTTGAAACCTAATAATCACTTATTCTGTTTTTATTTTTCTAACTGTTATGAGAACTACTATTTATTCAGCATCTTCTGAGTTTCCAGTACTCTACAGGCAATGCCTTATTTAATTCTCATAATAAACTGCCACTTTTTATTCACCTGTCAGATACCTATGCTCCCCTGATTGAAGAGAGATATCATTAATTATTGATTAGGTAACTAACCCCTGCTAATGTGTTGGCTAGCTAATCTGTAACCCTAGTGCTTAGAGGAAAAAATCTTATTTATTTAGAAGATATGTATCTCTAGAAGGTATCTATGGCAAGAATTTGAGATCACATAAATAGGAATAGAATTTGTATTGAGACTAGCTTTTTGAAGCCCTCAAATTAAATAAAATAGCTAACCCATCTGTCTCTACATAAAATCAATGCTGCTGAAAATATGCTCCAAGGAGTGCTTCAGTAACCTTGGTAATGACATGCAAGCTCCCTGCCCATAGACTCTCCTTGACTCATCAGGAAGTGCCATTTGGACAATTTTAGTTTAGGAAAGCAGCCAGTCTCCAGCCCAACTCCTGCACACCCTTTTCTTTGTCAGTAGAGGTAGAACTGGATTTAGAAAACATTTGCCTCTAAATATGATGTATCTAGATATAACAGCTCTTTGTAAATGGTGGTATAAACCTCAACGACTAGGAGCAGCTGTGGAGAGTGACACAGAAACTCAAGCAATCTCCCTTTCAAGTCTCTTCTAACACCATTTATAGTGAGAGAAGAGAGAGAACCATTTAAATAAATATTATGATGTTTGCCACAATGATATAGTGGAGAAATAGTCACAACGTATATTTGAGGAAGAAACACAGTTTATAGAAGATTTAAAAACCACCCGATTTTGAAATCGTTTATCTTTGGTAGAATCAGTACTTTTTGGGAACTGGTGGCATTTTGAACAGAAGTGATGCCTTTTGAACAACATCCACAGGACTACAGTGAAAACTCATTAGAGGAAGCAGGGTAAAATGCATAATTGGAAGAATGGTGGTCTCATGGTAAGCAGGAGGTATTGATAGGTGATGACAACCCCCAAAGCTAGAGCAACTTGCCTCTCCTTGCATTAGGACATGGCTAGGGCCTGGATCTCTGTGACATGTCTGTGTCATTCTAATCCCTGACTCCCTGGTTTTGCTAATGCTTTCTCCAAGAGCTGATCCCTGTGAACATTAGTCCTGTTCACCTGTCTTAGGAGCTCCTGAATGGTAGGAAGAGGGAAACATTTTTTCTCTTTGTGGTTGTAAGTGAGGCAGCCAGGACCTTAGTGCACCTGTTGTATCTGCCTGAGGCTGGTTCCAATTAGGCTCCTTCTAATGGAACCAAGCAAAAGCTAGTTAATGTTGTTGGTATTTTCTTCTTTAGTGGCTCAGCAATTATTCATTTCATGCTAAGCCCTTGAATGAGTATCTTCCCAGTCAGAGTTACCGAGCACTGTTCTGATGCCATGGGTTTTCTGTCCAGGGATAATTTTTCCATGGTTTAACCTCTTAAAACACATTATATAGTCTATCACTGTTTTACTAGCATCTAAGGTAAGAGTCTTTTCTTTTGCAGAGGAAATTGTTATTAAAAATAAACAGACTATTTTCCTGAAATTGTGATCTTTAGAAAAGCATCCAGGGGTTGACCGGGGGAAGTGATCTGTGGAGTACTTTACCAAGCTGATTCCAGACACAGTCAAGTAGAAAATATCAGAGGAAGAACTTACATTTACTTCTGTAGGTCTTCAGGACTCATTCATTGGGTCTGAAAATCATTGGTTTGTTCTCTACAGTTTTCAGCTTATGAAAACTAGGTGCAAAATTTCATCACCCTTTCATATATGCACATCATGGCAAGGTATAAACTTTGACGCTTGATATGATCCTTTCCCCATATGGAATGCATTTTCCTCCTGCTCCTAATTCAATAATATTTAACATATCTATGATTCATTTTAGTGTTATAAATTATTATTAGCATGACATCTTTTTTTCCCTAGCTTTATTAAGGTATAATGGAAAAATAAAAATTATATATATTTGTGGTGTGAACCATGATGTTGTGATATATGTATACATTGTAAAGTGATTATTACAATCAAGATAATTAACATATTCATCACCTTACATAGTTATACTTTTTTTAGTGAGAACATTTAAGATCCATTCTCAGCAATTTTCAAGTATACAACAAATTTCAAATAACAACATTGTTTTTAACTATAGTCACCCTATTATAATAGATTTCCAGAACTTATTCATCTCATCTAATTGAAACATTGTACCCTTTGACAAACATCCTCTCCTCCTTCCTTCCAACCCCTTCCCCCTGCCCAGGCAACCACCATTTTACTCCTGACGTCTATGAGTTAGGCTTTTTAGATTCCACATATAAGTGATATCATGTAGTATTTATCTCTCTATGCCCGGGTTATTTTACTTATCATAATGTTGTTGAAAATGATAAGAATTCCTTCTTTTTTAAGGCTCAAGAATATTCCATTGTACATGTATACATTTTATCCATTTTTCTGTGGATGAACACAGGTTGATTCCATATCTTGGCTATTATGAATAATTCTGCAATGAATGTGGGAATACAGACATCTATTTGATATACTTAATTCATTTCTTTGGATATGCTATGGTCTAAATGTGTCCTCCAAAATTCCTCTGTTGAAACTTCATCACCAATGTGATAGTATTAAGTGGTGGGGCCTTTAAATGGTAAGTCATGAGGTTGGAGCCCTCATGAATGGATTAGTGCCCTCCTAAAAGAGATGCAAAGAGCTGCCACACTCTCTTTTCACTCTTCTGTTTCCTCATTGTGAGAACATAATGTTTGCCCCTTTTACCATGTAAGGATTCAGCAAGAAGGCCTTCACCAGACACTAAATGTTGGCACCTTGATATTGGACTCCCCAGCCCCCAGAACTGTGAGAAATGAAACTCTATTGTTCATAATTTACCCATGCTATGGTATTTTGTTATAGCTGCATAAATGGACTAAGACAGGATAGTGTCTTTTTTGAGAAAAGCCTATTCCTTTACCCATTTTTCGATCAGGTTATTTGTTTTCTTTCTGCTGAGTTGAGTTTCTTATATATTTTGGGTATTTTTTTTACTTCTATGAAAAATATCATTGCAATTTTGACAGAGATTGTCTTAAATTTGTAGATCACTTTTAACAATATTAATTCTTCTACTCCTTGTACACAGGGTATCTTTCCATTTATTTGCCTCTTCTTCAATGTATTTCATGAATGCTTTACAGTTTTCAGTGAATACAGCTTTTACTGACTTGGTTAAATTTATTTGTAAGTACAGGTTAGGCATCCAAAATTCAAATATCTGAAATCTGCAAGGCTCCAAAATTCAAAACTTTTTGAGCACCAATATAAAAATCAAGGGAAATTCTCAATGGAGTATTTTGAATTTCAGATTTTCAGATTTTGAATGCTCAACTACTAAGTATAATGCAAATATTCCAAAATCCAAAACACTTCTGGTCCTGAGTATTACAGACAAGGAATATTCAACCTGTATTTTATTTTCATTTATTCCTAAGTTTTCTATTCTTTATAGCTATTGTAAATAGGATTGTTTTCTTGATTTCTTTTTCACATAGTTTGAGTTTAGAGAAAAGATAATGACTTCTGTTTGTTGATTTTTTTATTATTATTTTTGAGATGGAGTCTCGCTCTGTCACCCAGGTTGGAGTACAATGGTGTGATCTCAGCTCACTGCAACCTCCGCCTCCCGGGTTCAAGTGATTCTCCTGCCTCAGACTCCTGAGTAGCTGGAACTAAAGGCACACACCACCACACTCAGCTAATTTTCATATTTTTAGTAGAGACAGGGTTTCACCATGTTGGCCAGGATGGTCTTGATCTCCTGACCTCATGATCCACCTGCCTCAACCTCCCAAAGTGCTGGGATTACAGGCATGAGCCACCACGCCAGGCCTGCATGTTGATTTTGTGTCTTCCCACTTTACTGACTTTGTTTATTCTAACAATTTTTTGTTGAAGTCTTTAGGGTATTTTTATATATGAGATCATGTCATCTGCAAATGGAAAATTTTATTTCTTCTTTTCTGATTTGATTGCATTTTTTTCCTCTTTATTATCTAATTACTCTGGTTAGGACTTCCAGGGCTATAATGGAAGTGGCAAAAATGGGAGAGTGGGCATTCCTGTCCTGATCCTCATCTTAGAGGAAAACCTTTTTAATTTTTCACTGTTGAGTATGATGTTAGCTGTGGGCTTGTCATAAATGGCCTTTATTATGTTGAGGTATGTTTCTTCTATACATAATTTGTTGAGAGTTTTTTATTACTAAAAATGTTGAATTTTATAAAATATTATTTATGCATCTATTGAGATGATCATACGGCTTTGTCCCCTAGGCTTTTGTCAACTTGCTTTCATTCTTTCTTCCTCTCTCTCCTCTGACTAGGTAATTTCACATGACTTGTCTTTGGGCTCACTGATTCTTACTTCTGCTTGATTGAGTCCACTGTTTAAACTTTCTATGGAATTTTTCAATTTAGTCACTGTGTTCTTTAGCTCCAAAATTTGTGTTTGATTGATATGGTTTCTATCTATTTGTTGAACTTCTCACTTTGTTTTTGTATTTCTTTTAAATTTTTGTTTAGTTGTCTGTGTTTCTTGTAGCTCACTGAATTTTTTTAAGAATATTATATTGAATTATCTATCAGGCAGTTCACAGATCTCCATTTCTGTAAGCTCTGTTGCTGGTGTTTTATTTTGTTCCACTAGTGGTGTCCTATTTACTTGTTTCTTTTTTATCCTTGTGGCCTTGTGTTGGTGTTTGTGCATTTGAAGAAACAATCAACTCTTTCAGTGTTTATAAAGTGTATTTGGTAGGAAAAGCCCTCACTAGTCAGTCCATATTGATTCTGGGTGGGCCATCTGGAGGGGTCAATGGACAAGCTTGCTGCTAGAGTCCTTGTGTGGACTGGCCTAATGCGTGGGTCAGTGAGTAGATAGACGTGAAGCCTCAGATCATAGGGTTGTGCCTTTGTCCTGGATATGCAGGGGTAGTCCCATAACCTGGGTTCACTGGGATGAGCCTGGACCTCAAGCTAGGAAGACCAGCCTGGTCCCAGAATTAGACTGGAGCATGAGTCTGAAGACACTAGTCTAAAGTCTGTGGCCACAGGTGCTTGCCTGGTGCCATGTTTCTCTTGGGTGGGCCTGGTGCCAGGGTCTCCAGGGTCTTGCCACATAATTCTACTTCTCTCATGCACAAAGTATCTCTCTTCATTCTGTGCTGCCAAGGCTTGGGGTACGGGTGATGTGGGTGATGTGAAAGTGATCTTCCTACTTTATTTCAAGCCTCTTTTTTTATTTCTATGCTACACTTTGGTGCTGTAATCTCTCACTTGGATTCCTTAGCTCTTTTAAAGGTATTTTCATGCATGGATAGTTGTTCAAATTGTTGTTTCTGCAAGGGGACTAGTGCAGAAAGTCCTATTTTGCCATTATGCTCTCATTTTAGTGTTGGCTCAAAAGCCAGCCATCCCATTACTGGGTATATACCCAAAGGACTATAAATAATGCTGCTATAAAGACACATGCACACGTATGTTTATTGTGGCACTATTCACAATAGCAAAGACTTGGAACCAACCCAAATGTCCAACAATGATAGACTGGATTAAGAAAATGTGGCACATATACACCATGGAATACTATGCACCCATAAAAAATGATGAGTTCATGTCCTTTGTAGGGACATGGATGAAATTGGAAATCATCATTCTCAGTAAACTATCGCAAGAACAAAAAACCAAACACCACATATTCTCACTCATAGGTGGGAATTGAGCAATGAGAACACATGGACACAGGAAGGGGAATATCACACTCTGGGGACTGTTGTGGGGTGGGGGGAGGGGGGAGGGATAGCATTAGGAGATATACCTAATGCTAAATGACGCGTTAATGGGTGCAGCACACCAGCATGGCACATGTATACATATGTAACTAACCTGCACATTGTGCACATGTACCCTAAAACTTAAAGTATAATAATAATAAAAAAAGAAAAAAAAAGCTGTAAAAAATACTTTACTTTGATTCAAAAAATAACAATAGCTAACATATATTAATCATATGCTGAGTGTTCTATATGAATTATTTAATCCTCATAACAACCTCATTAGGTATGATTATCATTACTCGTATTTTATAGATAAAGAAACTGAAGCTTAATGAAGTTATGTTAATCACCTGATTTGCATAGCTGGGAAGTGGTACCATTAGTTTTTGAACCTAGGCAATATAACACCAGACTTAAGCATCTAACTGTGTTGCCACACTGTCTCCCTTTAGATAGTCCCCTAATTCTGAATCTCTATAACATTAATACAGATACAGTATGTGATGGCAAGCACTTTAACTTCTCAATATTCTAATAGTCTCCCCATTGCCAGCAAGTACTCTTGAGGTAGATGAGCCCAGCTCGGACTCATTTACTAGGCACATTTGTTTAATTATTCGCCAATTTCTCTCATTCTGACTTGATATTTCTCTAAGGTCTAAGCCTTCATATAATTTCTAGGGAAGAAACACTTTACTATTCTATTTTTCTGACAAGGTTATTGTTCAAAGTCTTAAGATGTACATCTGTGGTTAACTTAAGGGTCAGAGGTAGTTCCTATAGGATTTTCTACATTAGTGCTATTCAAAATATGGCCTGCAGACCAGTTCCTACCTGTGAACTTCGTGTTACTTGTATGTGATGCGATAAAGAGCTTGCATCAAAATAAAAATCAAGAGGCCAAAAATTTCTTTTAAAGTAAAAGCTTTTACAAAATCTTTGTATATAAAACATATACAGATAGACTTTTCCTATTTAAAGTAGAAGCAGAGGAACTGAAGCCCTATCTTCAATGATCACCTCCAGAAAACACTCGAGGTTCCTTCTCAGAGCCCTAGGTTTCCTTGAAACACAGCTTGAGAGTCACTGTTACAGGCACCAATTTCTGGAGTATCATTTACACACTATAGTTTTCTAGAGTCATTTTTATCCTCGTTTTGAATTGTAGCTAGGAATGTGCCACAAAACTGTTCATGTTTCTCAGTGCTTTCAACATGAGAACCCAATTACCAAAGGTGACCATGGACAGTGATAAATGTTTATCAATGTTTAAATGTAAAAATACATGTGACAAACTCCCCAAGTCTCCCCAATAAGCATTACCATTTCTAAATTTTGCAATATGCTCCAGCCAGAGTTCAAGCGCTTTTTCTCTTATATAATGACAACCTCCCTCTGAGAACAAAACAGCTTCTAGTAGTGCATCAGGTCAAACAGTACCACTTATCCTAGAATATATTCCTGAGCTCTGACCCAAAAGTGTATTCCAAGCTTGTAGCCTAACCACCCAAGAAATTTGCCATAGATTTCTCTTCTTTCTCTTGGGACAAGTGATTTTTCTTAGAAGTTATAACATTGAGGTTAGGTGATATTTTTCTATTCACTTCTCCCAAGATTTTATCTCTCCCTGAGTCTCAAAAGCAATGGAAGATGTGCTTGTCACCATTTGAACTGTCTTTCCTCCTAAAAATCTTTTCCAATACATAATAACCTCTACATCCATCTGCAGAAACATTTTATATCTGCCAGCCATCATCATAATCTATTGCTATCACTGACTGATATTCCAGAGTTTTTCCTCTCAAAACACACAATACTCATTTAAATTCGACTTCCTCTGCTACTCTTGCTACTTACAGTCCAAATACAGCTGTTGTATTTGGACTAAGTATTTGATGTTTGCTTTTACTTTGGGTTTTGCAGAATGTATCAAAGGAGTTTGTTTATCTGTGTGTGAGTTAGGTGTATAGAAGCAATATAAAGTTAACTTTACTTCACACTTTTATCTAGAGTTTTAACTAAGAAGTTGTACTGAGCTCTGAATTTTCAAAAATTAAGGTATTCTAAACAGGGGCAGGGCAAGATGGCAGAATAGAAGGCTCCACTAATTGTCGCCTCCTAATCCCCCAGGAAAGACACCAATTTACAAGCATCTACACACAAAAACCGCCTTCATAGGAACCAAAAATCAAGTAAGCACTCATAGTACCTGGTTTTAACTTCATATCACAGAAAGAGGCACTGAAGTGGTATGAAAAACAGTCTAGAATTATCAGTGCTACCTATATTAGTCTGTTTTCATGCTGCTGATAAATACATACCTGAGACTGGGCAATTTACAAAAGAAAGAGGTTTACAAAAGAAAGAGAATTACAGTTCCACATGGCTGGGGAAGCCTCACAATCATGCCAGAAGGTGAAAGGCACATCTCACGTTGTGGCAGACAAAAGAAGAAGACAGCTTGTGCAGGGAAACTCCCCTTTTTAAAATCATCAGCTCTTGTGATACTTATTCACTATCATGAGAACAGCACAGGAAAGACTTGCCCCCATGATTCAGTTATCTCCCTCTGCGCCCCTCCCACTGGAATTCAAGATGAGATTTGGGTAGAGACACAGCCAAACCATATCACTACCTCTACCCCATCCCCTGGCAGCAGTGGCATGGTGCAAAGAGTGTTCCTCTGCTCTGGGAGAGGGAGGGCACAGCAACTGTGAGGCGTTGAACAGAGTGCCACCTTGTTATAGCAGAAAGGAAAAGCAGACCAAATTCAGCTGACACCCGCCCATGGAGGAGCATTTGAACCAGCCCTAGCCAGAGGGGAATCACTTATCCCAGAGGTTGAAACTTGAGTTCCTGCAAGCCTCACCACTGTGGCCTGCAGTGCTCTGTGTCTCTAAGTAAACTTGAGAAACAGTCTAGGATATAAGAACTGCAATTCTTGAGTGATTCCTAGTGTTGAATTGGATCCAGAGACAGTGGACTGGGAGGGCACATGACCTGCCGAGCCATCAGCTGAGGTGTCTATGGGAATCAGGCTGCACAGCTTATGGCTCCAAAAGAGATCCCGTCCTTCTGTTGAGGAAAGGGGAGGAAAGAGTGCGGAGGACTTTGTCTGGCATATAGTATACCAGCTCAGCCACAGCAGGATTGGGTACCAGTCACAGTTGTGAGGCCCCTGTTCCAGGCCCTAGCTTTCAGATGACATTTCTAGACACACACTGTTCCAGAAGGAAACCTGTTACTGTGAAGGAAAGGACCCAGTTCTGGCATCATTCATCACCTGCTAACTGAAGAGCCCTTGGCCCCTGAACAACCAGTAGCAATATCCAGGCAGTATGTTGAGAGCCCTAGGTGAGACTCTGAGACATGATGACTCCAGGTGGGAATCAGCAAATTCTTAGCTGTGGTGGCTATGGGAGGAGACTCCTTCTGCTTGAGAGAAGCAGAGGGAAAAGTAAAGGGGACTGTGACTTGCACCTTAGGCACCAGCTCAGCCACAGGAGGGTAGAACATCTGGATTCCAGGACGTGGCTGTTGGATGGCATTTCTAGACCTGCCCTGGGTCAGAGGGGAGGTCAGTTCCCGAAGGGTCACCACAAGCTGACTACAGAGCCCTAAGGCCTTAAGGGAACATCAGCAATAGTTTGGCAGTATTCCTTGTGATCCTGTGGTGGTGTGGCCATGAGTTGAGTCTCCTCTGCTTTGAAAAGGGGAGGCAAGAGTGGGAAGGACTGCATCTTGTGGTTTGAGTGCTAGCTAAGCCACAGTATATTAGAATACCAGGTAGACTTCTAAGGTTTTTAACTGTAGTCTCTGGCTCCTGGATGGTACCTATAGACCCACCCAGGGACTGGGGGAACTCACCACCCTGGAGAAAATGAGAGAGGCCTAGCTGACTTTGCTACCTCCTGATTGTAGAATCCCAGGGCCCAAAGAATGGTTACAGCAGGCCTTGGGCAAGACCCAGTGCAGTGCTGGCACCAGGTCTAATCCAGTACAATCTCAGTGGTGGTGGCCACAGGAATGCTTATGTCAGTTCATCCAGGCCTGGGTGGCTCAGAACACAGAGCGAGACTCCATTTGGATGACAGTAAGGGAAGAGAAAAAAAGTTCCTCCCTTGTAATCCAGATAATTGTTGCTTAGCAAAACAGTGACCCTTCTCATAGAGAACTGGAAAAATTATATATGTGTGTGTATATATATGTATGTGTGTGTGTATGTGTGTGTGTGTGTGTATATATATATATACATTTTAAAAATGAATACCATGTGATGAACTACCTTCTTGTTTCCAAACACAAAATGTCTCTTGTGTTGTCAGTTTTTGCAAACAATGGATTGCAAGACACTGACATCAGGCAACAACGTACAGCAATCCCTGAGAGATGGGAAACAAATGAAATAAGCCCTTTGACTGACTTGAATTTCCAGACTAGAGTAGTGAGAGGAAACCAGGTGGAGAGTTGGACTCCCTGAGTTGAGAGAAGGAGTTGAGATTTATGAGAGCTTCTAGAGTTCTCAGGACAGAGTGCCATAAAAGAGACAACTCCATACATAATATCACAGTATTTGGAAATCTGTAAGGCATCCCCTGCAAGTATTCACCTGCATACTAATCAGTGTATGCACTGAGGAAACTACATGAGACTTGGGGAAAAAACACCCCAAATTATTAAAGGTAGCAATGTCTGATGTTTACACAAGGCCAATAGTGCATGTTTCTACCAATCAAACTGAAACAGCTCAAGAATCGGGGGACATTGGTACTGTACACACAAACTTTTTCACTTCAGTAATGGGGAATGATTAGCCCAAGAATGAGTATTGCTTTGGTCCCTAACAGATCTTAAAAGTAACACCACCAAAAACCAGTTTCTTGAGAAACATTACATCACAGTACAAAGTTTAAGAATATTTATAAAAATACAAATATGGGCCAGGCATGGTGGCTCATGCCTGTAAGCTCAACATTTGGGGAGGCTGTGGTGGAAGGATTGCTTGATGCCAGGAGTTTGAGACCAGCCTGGACAACATAGTGAGATCCCAACTCTACAAATAACAATAATAATAAAAATTAAGGAGGGGAGGGCGAAGATAGCTGACTAGAAGTAGCAAGTGTGTGCTGCTTTCACAGAGAGAAGATAAAGTGGTGACTAAATACTGCGTCTTCAACTGATAGATCCAGGTGAACACACTGGGATTCATCACGGAAAGAACTCAACCCATGGAGAATGAAGAGGAGCAAGACAGGAAAATCACCCATCTGGGAATGGCATGGAGCCAGGGGAGGCTCCCCAACCATGGGGAAATGGTGAGTAAGTGAGAGATCCCAGGGATCCACACTTTCTCCATGGACCTTTAAACCCTATGTTAAAGAGATCCCCTTGTTTGCCCACCCCACCATGGCCATCAGACCGAATGCAGAGCTACGTGGAACCTAGGCAGAGCCACTGCTCAGGCACATGTGGAGTCCCAGGAGCCTTGGATCCCTGAACATCTGGCATTAGTGGCTGCTGAACAAGCAAAGGGAAAGATTAGGCTCCCTCACACACCCCTAAGAGAGGAGCTGAATCCAAGAAGTTCAGCAGTGACAGTCTGCAGGCCTACCTTCCACTATTCCTCACAGGATAAAACCAATAGGTTATCTAGAAAACCTAATAGTAACTGCCCAAAAGATCCTCGAGCTGATAATCAACTTTAGCCTATTTTCAGAGCACAAACTTAATGTACAAAAATCAGTAGCATTCCTACACACCAACAACATCTAAGCTGAGAGCCAAATCAGAAACACGATTCCATTCACAACTGCCACAAAAATAAAATACCTAGGAATACAGCTAACCAGGGTGGTGAAAAGTCTTTACAGTGAGAATTACAGAACATTGCTTAATGAAATCAGAGATGGCCAGGCACGGTGACTCATGCCTGTAATCCCAACACTTTGGGAGGCCAAGGCGGGAGGATCTCTTGAGCCCAGGAGTTCGAGACCAGGGCAACATGGTGAGAAACCCCCTCTCTACAGAAAATTAGCCAGGCGTGGTGGAACACATCTGTAATCCCAACTACTCAGGAGACTGAGGTGGGAGGATCACTTGAGCTCAGGAAGTCAAGGCTACAGTGAGCTGAGATTATGCCACTGCACTCCAGCTTGGGTGATAGAATGAGACCCTAACTCAAAAAAAAAAAAAAAAAAGAAAGAAACCTAAGATGACACAAATAAATGGAAAAACATTCCATGTTCATTGATAAAAAGAATCAATATCATTAAAATGGCATAATGTCCAAAGCAGTTTACAAATTCAGTGCTATTCCTATCAAACTACCAACAACATTCTTCACAGAACTAGAAAAAACTATGTTAAAATTCCTGTGGGACAAAAAAAGTGCTTAATAGCCAAGGCACTCCTAAGCAAAAAGAACAAAGCTGGAAGCCTCACGTTACTTGACTTCAAACTATACTGCAGGGCTATGGTACACAAAATAACATGTTTCTGGTACAAAAACAGACACATAGACCAATGGAATAGAAAAGTAGTGAACCCAGAAATAAGGCCACACACCTACAACCATCTGAAGTCTGACAAAGCTGACAAAAACAAGCAATGGGGAAAGGACTCCATATTCAATAAATGGTGCTGGGATAACTGGCTAGCCATATGTAGAAGATTCAGACTTGACCTCTTCCTTTAACTATATACAAAAATAAACTCAAAATGGAATAAAGACTTAAATGTGAAAACTAAAATTTTAAAAATCCTGGATATAACCTAGGCAATATAATTTCATGATGAAGATGTCAAAAGCAATTGTAACAAAAACAAAATTGGCAAATGGGATCTAATTCAACTAAAGGGCTTCTGCACAGCAAAAGAAACTATCAACAGAGCAAACAGACAACCTATAGAATGAGAGAAAATATCTGCAAACTATGATCTGACAAAAGTCTAATATCCAGAATCTATGAGGAACTTAAACAAATTTACAAGCAAAAACAAATGACCCTATTAAGAAGTGGGCAAAGGGCATGAACAGATACTTTTCACAAGAAGACATACATGCAGCCAACAAGTATGTGAAAAATTCTGAACATCACTAATTGTTAGAGAAATGCAAATCAAAACCACAATGAGATACCATCCCACACCAGTCAGAATGGCTGTTATTAAAAAGTAAAAAATTAACAGATGCTGGAGAGATTGCAGGGAAAAGGGATGCAAAACGCTGCTGGTGGGAGTGTAAATTAGGTCAGCCATTGTGGAAAGCAGTGTGGGGATTCCTCAAAGAACTCAAAACAGAATTACCATTCAACCCAGGAATCCCATTATTGGGTGTATACCCAAAAGAATGTAAATGATTCTACCATAAAGAGTAATTCGTGCATATGTTCATTGCAGCACTATTCACAATAGCAAAGACATGGAGTCAATCTAGATGTCCATCAGCGGTAGACTGGATAAAGACTATGTGGTATATATATATATATATACCATGGAATACTACGCAGTCAGAAAAAAGAATGAATTCATGTTCTTTGTAGCAACGCAGATGGAGTTGGAGGCCATTATTCTAAGCAAACTAACACAGAAACAGAAAACCCAATACCACATGTTCTGACTTAAAAGTGAGAGCTAAACAACAAGAACATATGGACATGAAGTGGGGAACAATAGACACAAGGGCTCATAGAGAAAAGAAGGTGGAGGAAATAGAGGATCAGAAAAAAATACCTATCAGGAACTAATGCTTAGTACCTGGGTAATGAAATAATCTGTACACCACACACCTGTGACATGAATTTACCTATATAACAAAACTGCACTTGTAGCCCTGAATCTTAAATAAAAATTAAAATAAAAAAAGAAAAGGAAAATTAGGTGTGGTGGTATGTACCTGTGGTCCTAGATACTTGGAAGTTTCAGGCAAGAGGATTGTCTAAGCACCAGAGTTTGAGGCTGCATTGAGGGTTGATCACATCACTGCACTGGAGCCTGGTAACAGAGCAAGACCGTGTCTTAAATAAATACATAAATAAATAATAAAAGAAATATAAACAACACTCAACAAGGTAAAATTCACAGTGCCTACCATTCAATCACGTATTGCCAGCATTCAAAGAGGTGGGAAAATATGACTCATAGAAAGGAAAGGCTGGGTGCGGTGGCTCACGCCTGTAATCCCAGCACTTTGGGAAGCCGAGGCAGGTAGATCATCTGAGGTCAGAAGTTTGAGACCAGCCTGACCAATATGGTGAAACCCCATCTCTACTAAAAATACAAAAATTATCCTGCCATGGTGGTGTGTGCCTGTAGTCCCAGCTACTCAGGAGGCTGAGACAGGAGAATTGCTTGAACTGGGAGGCAGAGGTTGCTGCAGTGAGCAGAGATTGTGCCACTGTACTCCAGCCTGGGTGACAGAGTAAGACTCCATCTCAAAAAAAAAAAAAAAAAAAAAATTATGTAGGGACATAGAAGGTATTTTTTAAAAATGTATAAAGACCCTAATTAAACTTCTAGAATTAAAAATACAACTAGATGGAATAAATGACAAAAGGAAAATTAGTGTACTTGAAGACATGGCAACAGAAACTCTCAACAAAAGCTCTTTTCTCTTTTTACAAAGGAAAGAGTAACAAAAAGTAGACAAAGCATTAGTGAGCTGTAGGACAATTTTAAACAGCAAAATATACATGGAATTGGAGTTGTACATAATTGGAGAGGAGAAATAGGATGGAACAGAAAACTTTTTTTTCCAAATCTGATAAAAAATTATAATCCTACAGATTGAATAACTGAATGAACCAAATGATACACATGTGAAGAAAACTACACCAAGGCCCATTGTAAATAGTTGAAAACTAGTGAGAAACAAAAATACATAAAGGAAACCAGAGAAAAATGACACATTATAAGTGGACCAAAGATGTGGATAACAGCAGTTCCCATCAAAAAACAATGCAAATGAGATGATAGGCAATATTTTTATTATGCTGAAGTAAAAAAACTTAACCTAAAATATCTTTTCTAAAGCAAGGGCAAAATATAAAGATTTTTTTCAGAAATAGAAAGGATGAAAGAATTTATTACAACCACCCCGGCACTATAAGACATACTAACCAAAGACCTTCAAGCAGAATAAAATGATATCGGGGGAAATCTGACCTACACAAAGGAATGAAGGGCACCAGAAACCACAAATACATGGGTAAATAAATGAAATTTGTTATTATTATGTAAAGCTTTTTAAAAGATAATTAGCTGTTTAATCAAAAGTAGAAACCATCTATTACGGCATTCATAACATATTTTAAAATAAAATGTGTGTCAACATTAGCTCCAAGTCTGGGCCAGGAAAAATGAAAATATATTACTATAAGGTTCTACTATACATGAAATGGTATAATATACAGGTAGAGTGTAATGAGTTAAATGTATATACTATAATGTAACCACTAAATTAACCAAAAACTGTAGCTAATAAGCCAACAAATGAAATAAATCACAAAAAGTACTCAATCCCAAAGAGGCAGAAAAAGTTAAAAAAAAAGAATAAAGAACTGGTGAGACAAATAAAGAACAAGTATCAAAATGATAGATTTAAACCAAGCCATATTAATAATCACAAAATAAGCAAATGGCCTAAAAATCCAATATAAAGTCAGAGATTTTAAGATTGTACAAAAAAGGGAGACACAACTATATGCCATCTTTAAAAAAGGCACTTCAAATATAAAGACACAAAAAGGTTACAAGTATGGAGATGGTAAAATGTATAGCACGCTAATGCTAATCAAAAGAAAGCAGGAATAGCTGTATTAATATTGGACAAAGTAGATTTCAGAACAAAAAATACTACCAGAGATAAAGAGGTCATTTCATGAGAATAAATGATAAGATAATGATAAAAAAAAGTCCATTCATGAAGAAGATATAATAATCCTAGACATTTCTACACATAATATGAGAGCTTCGAAGTATATGAAATAAAAACTGTACAACTGAAAAGAGTAATAGATAAAGACACAAGAGCAGTTGGAGATTTTAGTACCCTTTTCTCAATAATTGATAGAACAAGTGGAGAAAAGATCAGCAAAGGTATAGAAAATTTGAACATTATCAACCAACTTGGCATAATTGGTATTTATAGAATATTATACTGAAAAATATTCTCATTGCATCCATACATTATATTTACCAAGATAGACCATATTCTAGGCAATAATAGATGTCTCAATATATTCAAAATAATTCAAATCATACAAGTATGTTCTCTGACCACAATAGCAGTAAATTAGAAATCACTAACAGAAAGATCTTTGGAAAATCTCCAAATATTTGGAAATTAAATAACACACTTCTAAGAATTAAATAACACTTCTAAAGGGTCAAAAAAGAAGAAGAAATTAGACATTTGGAGCTAATTAAAATGAAAACACAACATATAAAAGTTTATGGGCTGCCTACAAAGTAGTAATGAGAAGGAAATTTATAGTAGTAAATGCGTATGTCAGAAATGAAAAAAAGTGTCAAATCGATGACTTCAGCTTCTAATTTAAAAAATTAGAAATGAAGAGAAAGGTAAACATAGAATAAGTAGAGGGAAGAAAATAACAAATATCACTATGGAAACCAATAAAATTGGAAACAGAAAAGCAATAGAGAAAATCAGTGAAACCGAAAGTTTCTGCACAATGAAGGAAACAACAAAGTGAAGAGATAAAAGCTGGTTCTTTGAGAAGGTCATTAAAGTTGATAAACTCCTAGCCAGACTTAACAGGAACAAAAAACAGATAACATAAATTAACTAGCATTAGAACCAGGAGAAGTGATATCACTACAGAGTCTAATGATATTAAAAGGATAATAAGAGACAACTATGGACACTTTTATGCTAATCAATTCAACAACTTAGATAAAATGGACAAATGACGTGAAAGAAAACCAATAAAGTTTACTGAAAAGTGAGCTCATATATCCTATGTCTATTAAAGAAATTTAATTTGTAGTTCAAAACTTTCTACAAAGAAAACTCCAGGCCCAGGTGGCATCACTGGTGAATTTTCCCAAATATTGAAGGAAGAATTACTATTCTATACAAACTCTTTCAGAAAACTGAAAAGCAGTAAACACTTTCCAACTCTTCTCTGATACCAGTTTTACCCTGATACCAAAACTAAGCAAAAACATAATAGATACAGAGAAGTATCCTGCATGAGCATAGTTACAAAATCCTCATCAAAATTCTAGCAAATCAAATACGACAGAATATAAGAAGGATAATACCTCATGAGCAAGATGGGTTTATCCCAGGAATGCAAGGTTGATTTAACATTCAAAACTCTGTCAGTGTAATGTCCCATATCAAAAACAGAAAGGAAAAAATATATAATCATCTCAGTAGACTCAGAAAAAAAGATCCAGTATCCATTTCTGATTTTAAAAAACACAACTCTTATCATGGAATAGAAGGGAACTTCTATAACAGGTTATATATGGCAGTTAAGTTTCCAGGGTAACTCACAGATCTAATCCTTGGATAAATTATTACATCTGTGCAATTATAAAGAAATGGAGGCAGCATTGTTGAAAATCTATAACCTGGCATGTCAGTTCCATAATCGTCAAGTTGCTTCTGTATGAGAGGTACCATGCTAGGTTCTAGGAGTACAATGCAAACGTGGCATCCCTTGAAAAGCTTGAAGTTTAAACAGAGGCAAATGGATATGTCACATGCAGGCAATAAACATTCACTGATGCAATGATTTAAAATAAACAAGAAATAATTATGCCAAGTGAAATAAGCCAGACCAAAAACAGGGTATATATTATATAATTCTACTGATACGTATAATTCTAGAAAAATTAATCTGTGATGGCAGAAAATAGGCCAGCAATTGCTTGAGGATGAGATCAAGGGAACAGGAAGCGTACTCAGGAGGGATTTGTAAGGGGCACAGGGAAACTTCCAGGGGTGATGAATATGTTCCTTCTATTGATTGTGGTGATGTTTTCAATAGCATGCACATATATCAGAACTTATTAAAATGTGTGTTTTAAGTGTATATGGTTTATTTTATGTAAATTAAACCTCAATAAAGCTGTTAAAATATATTTTAGGCTACAATGTCGACATTTAGGAAGGAATGGTTATTATTTTTCCTGCAATGCTCCAGAGAGGCCTCCTGAACAGATATTGCTGAACCCAACCACAGCTCTCTGTATCAGAAGCTTCCACAGGAAACAAGAGGACACATTCAAATTCTGTAATTTGAGACGAGATTAATAAAAGGACTATATACAAAAATGCAAGAAAGATTTGGAATAACACAAGGCATAGTACAGTACCTCATGGCTGATAGCACTCACTACCATGAGACTAGAAGTGGAGGGGAGAAGTGGCTCTTAGAACCTGGGAAGAAGGTGCCCTGCTAAGGCGGACATTTGAAAAAGAGCTGAGACATCACAGCACACATTTAACCTACATGGACATTTTAGGGAAGGAGCAAAGGAACAAAAATCCTAGCTGTATTATCCTCCCTCCTTCCCAATCTCTACAGGTGCTCACCATTGGCCAGCCCCACCAAAAGCCAAACTATAAGGAGGCATCCAGCCAAACAGCCTCTTCAGTCTTGGAACAGCTTGGAAAATGAATCTGGAAGGACAAATAGGTGATCTACAGCATAATCTCCATTATAGTGTACTTTCTCTTCATCCGGTTGATTTGGTTTGGATCTGTGTCCCCACCCAAATCTCATGTTGAACTGTAATCTCCAGTGTTGGAGGTGGGGCCTCGTGGGAGGTGTTTGGATCATGAAGGCAGATTCCTTATGAATGATTTGGGCCATCCCTTTGGTGATGAGTGAGCTCTTGCTCTGAGTTGACAGGAGATCTGGTCATTCAAAAGTGTGTGACATGCTCCCTGCCTCCACCTGCTCTTGCTCATGCTTTTGCCATGTGACTTGCCTGCCCCTTGTTCGCCTTCTGCCATGATTGTAAGCTTCCAGAAGCCTCCCTGGAAGCTGAGTAGTTGCCAGCACCATGCTTCCTGTAAAGTCTGAAGAACTGTGAATGAATTAAACTTCTTTTCTTTATAAATTACTTTATAAATGGTAAAGGTATTTCTTTACAGTAATGCAAGAATGCCCTAATACACAGGTCCGAGATCAAAGGATAAAAAATTAGATAGAACTAACACAGTCATATTTTTCCTCTGGAAAACAATAATTATTTCAGACTTTTACTTAACAATATAAGGCTTCATCTTCCTTCTGATTGGATAGTCTCAGTTCCTGCATTTGGAAAGATGTACTGATGAGCATGAATTTGACAAGCAGTGCCCTATGCCAGGAGTGGACAAACTATGGCTTATGGGCCAAATCTGTCCCATTGACTGTTTTTGTACAGCTTGCAAGGTAAGAATGGCTTTTACACATTTAAATGATTGAAGAAATATCAAAAGAAAAAAAATTTTTGTGACACGAAAATTACATGAAATTCAAATTTCAGGGTCCATAAATAAAGTTTTACTGGAACTAGGCATACCCATCAATTTACATATTGTCTATAGCTGCTTTTGCACTGCAAGTGGCAGAGTTGAGTAGTTGCCCACAAAACCTAAAATATTTATTCTCTGACTCTTTACAGAAGTTTCCTGACTCCCACCCTAGCTAAAGAAGCTGCAGATGTGGGGACAGATTCACCTGGAGACAGGCCCTGGCTCCATTGCTCCTTTCCTGTGTCATCCTGACATGTTATGCCATTTCCACAAATTTCAGTTTTCTCAAGACAAAAAGGGGATAGTAATGTCTACTATATAGAGTCACCATTGAGCATTATATCACAGAGCAAAAGTAAAATGCCTGGCACAGGGACTAACACACACAGAAAATTATTTCTCTCACTAAATGAATAATAGGTGAAAATACCATGGAACATCAAGCCATGCAAGTTTTCCTACCTTACTGTTTATACAACTTTTCCACTTTACCATTTACTAAACATACGTCTATCTTCTCATCATTCCAACTGGTGTCAGAGGAGATTTACTTCTTATCTAAAGCTTATCCCTTGCCTGTAGACACCAGATCCCATCCCTTTCAAATCTGCTTAAATAATAGTTTCTAATCTTTAGTGTGCTTACAAAGCGTCTGGGTGTTACAATACAGATATGTGAGCCCGCAGAGAAATCTGCATTTCAAAATTACTTTAAGGAGAAAATTCTCTCTCTCTCTCTCTCTCTCTCCACACACACACACACACACACACACACACACACACACACACCCCTCTCTCTCTTCCTAACATGTTTGTAATCTCTTTCTTCATAGACTTCTTCTCTCCTATCAGTATCATTTATCTTTAAAAAAATAAGATGGAGTTGCTGTTGTCATAATGTTTTTTCTAGCTACCACCAATCTCTTTTATTCTACCATCAAACTCCTGACATGTGCAAATTATACTACATCTGAAGCTATTTAGGAAACTTATTTTATGATCTCTATATCTGTAATTTCCTGTGCCACCTCTCACTTTCTATTTCTTCATTATCTATTTCTTTTGTTAATTACTTGTCATCGTCTCTTCATTAAACATAGAACCTCCTTTGCTCAGTTTACTGCCTCACAGCCTCTTACTCCCAGTGAACTCATCTGGCCCTAGTCAGCACCAGCTTTAGGGGACTTCATAATGGGAGGCTAATGTGCTTTTACCACAAGGCCATGGAGTTGTACTCAGGGTTTCCTGACATAGTTCCCAGGTCTGGGGTTTGAGGGAGCTCAAAAGGCAAAACCCATTTTTTCCATTCCTGAACTAACAGAGACAAGAGCGAGACAGAAATAATGCAAATAGAAAAATGAGAGAAAAAATTTGTATTACAGACAAGACTGATTTGTGGAGAATGTAGCTTATGTCAGCACCTAAGTAGGTTTGCAATACTGGGACGCTGAGTTATACAAATTTATGCACCCAGTAACAGGCATTGCTGAATAAGATCAGAAATTGGAAAGAACTCTTCCTGACAACTGTGAGTCCATTCACAGAAAGACTCTCTGCCCAATTTTAACTATCAGAAGAGAAAGTTGACAAAGTGGAAGTGGAAACATGTTGGGTAAAAGATACAATGTGATACAGAACTTGGTAACAGTGAGTTATGAGAATAGAAAATTCTACTTGAGTTTGGGAAAAGATATTTCAAATGTTTAGGGAAGAAACATGCTATAGAAACATGTTATAAAGGGATATACTTTCTGATAATAGGGATAATCTAGAATGGCCTGGGGGAAAGAATCCTAAGTTATTTTAAAATGCTCTAATTTTTGGCTGGGCATGCTGGCTCACGTCTGTAATCCCAACACTTTGGGAGGCTGAGACGGGTGGATCACCTGAGGTCAGGAGTTCGAGACCAGCCTGGCCAACATGGCAAAACCCTATCTCTACTGAAAATACAAAAATTAGCCAGGCATGGTGGCAGGCACTTGTAATCCCAGCTACTCAGGAGGCTGAGGCAGGAGAATCACTTGATCCTGGGAGGCAGAAGTTGCAGTGAGCCGAGATCGTACCATTGCACTCCAGCCTGGGTGACAAGAGCGAGACTCAGTCTCAAAAAAAAAAAAAAAAAAAAAAAAAAAAAAAAAACCCTCTAATTTTTGAGGGGGCAACTAAAGAAATCTTCTGAAAGGGACTACAAAAAACACCAAATGTGGGGCACATGACCAAGACTAAGCTGAAAGATCAATGTGAACTTGTATAAACAGTGTCAGGAAGACCAAAGTCCTCACTGAGGATATATGAGCAAGATGAGGTTCAGAAATGCCAGACAACAAAAGTAACTTTGTAGATGTGGTCAAAATGAAAAGAAAGAGAAATAGTCTCAGAGAAGATGATGTAATGTTCAAAGATTACAAAGAAAAGGCAACTGACACAACATTGCTCTTAAGCAAGTCATTTTATCTTTCCATGACACGGTTTCCTGCCTCCTCAACAAATGAAAAGGTATTGGACACCAAGTTGCCAGTTTATTTTTGTTTTGACATTCATGAAAGAGAATGATCTTCAACCTAGGAAGGAGGGTATATATAATAAGAGCTTTCATTATAATTACAGCATGATGAGGAACAAAAAGTAGATTGAATTACTAAATGGAACAGCTACTATAAGTACACTAAATAATAAGGTACACCATGCTGACTTCATTTCCACTGATGAGATGACAGGGAAATGCCACTAACCATAAAGTTTCTTGATTTCAGTAAAATGTGTGATTAATCCTCCAATGATATAATTTTGGATAAGACAACACTTGGAGAATGGAAAGGAACATGTAATTGGAATTAAATTTAATAATAGTATATCTTTTTATCATTCTAGCTGTGTAGTCTTGCAAACATGACTAAATTTCTCTGGGTCTGTTTCCTAATTAGATAAAAACAAAAGTAAGCAGTCAGACTATTTAATTCTGAGCTGATTTCCTACTCTAAAATTTAAAGATTGTAAAGTTTCAAACAATTTGATATCAACATATAAGGAGACCAATAAATTACAACAAGAGCTTGTCTTGGTTTTGCATAGTTCAAGATATTTATAAGTGATTTGGATGAAGATATCGAAGGCCTAATTATGGAACTTACAGATAACACAGATCTGGATTGGGTGACAAAAATGGCATGCTGAAGAATCAGGATCTGAAAAGAAGCCTCAAGAGATTAAAGCTTATAGGTTACTTTAGTACTCAAATGAGAATTGAGAATACCTAGTTTGGCAACAGTTTATCCATGTGAGAAAGCAATGTGATCACAAATTTAGCATGAACCAACAGTGTTAATATGAGTGCAGAGAGGGAGAGAGAGAGAATGAGAGAGAAATAATCGCACCATATTGTCAACATACATCAAGAGCTTTAAAAGCTTCATAACTTTTTTTTTTTTTTTTTGAGAGAGAGTCTCACTCTGTCGCCCAGGCTGGAGTGCAGTGGCGTGATCTCGGCCCACTGCAAGCTCTGCCTCCCGGGTTCATGCCATTCTCCTGCCTCAGCCTCCCCAGTACCTGGGACTACACGCGCCCTCCACCACACCCGGCTAATTTTTTTTGGATTTTTAGTAGAGACTGGGTTTCACGGTGTTAGCCAGAATGGTCTCGATCTCCTGACCTCGTGATCCGCCCCAACTCCGCCTCCCAAAGTGCTGGGATTACAGGCGTGAGCCACCGCGCTCGGCCCAAAAGCTTCATAACTTTTAACCACAAATTTTCAGTTCTGATAGTTCAGAATTGAACTATCAGGAAAAAAAAAAGTAAGATATTGTCTAAGGAGGCAATGACGAATAAGTATGTCTCTAAGTATCAGCTACAAAAATTGATTGCTGAACTATTTATAATCACTTAAAATTTAAAAAAAACATAAATATGCAACAAAAAGAAGAACATATATTTAAATAAATTGTGACAACCCATACAACAGATTCCCATAAAACCCAAAAAGTATATATAGCCATGTGGGAAGGTGATCATTATATATGATTGGAAAAAAACCCACAGGTTTACAATACAGTAAATTTAGTATGAACTCATTTTTCAAAAAACAAATATGTGTTTTTATTAGATTGTCTCAGAAATCCATGTGTGTGTATGTGGAATACTTTTCCAGGTATACACTGGCAATACCCCACTAATTTGTGTTTTCACCAGTATACACAGGACAATGGCAGGTTGTAGCAGTTATCTGTTGGGTTTGAGCAATCCAGCATTCATTTCCTGTTCTTTTAGTAAAAGTGATCCAATTTTTACTGGGGTCAACTCTATCCCAATCTGGAGTTGCCATGTGGTCCCAGCCTGAATCAATTAGTACCTTTCATTCCCCTGCCATAATATTTGGTTCAGAAATTGTCACTGGACTAATATGAGTCAAATATTAATTTTCTAGCTGAATTTTGGTGAAAGATCCTCTTTTTCCTAACATTTGAAACTAAAAGGAAGCTGTTTCGACCTATACAGCAGCCGTATTTCCACTGATAGGATAGAAGCTGTCCAAAAGTGAACCCAACAGAGAAGTAGGGCACGAATGTACAGAAAAAATCCAGATACTAAACCTGTCCTTTAAGCCTGTGTATACAGCTCTACTTAAAATCAGTTTATCCCATTTCCCCAAATTTTCAGTTTTTTTTTTTAACTTTACTATGGTTTGAATGTGTTCCTCAAAGTTCATATTTTAGACACTTAATCCTCAGTGCTACAGTGTTGAGAGGTGAATCTTTAAGGGGTGATTAGGTCATGAGGGCCCTAATGTCTTAAGTGGATTAATGCTATTGTAGAGATGGCAGGTTAGTTATCTTGAAAGTTGGTTCCTGATAAAAGAATGAATTTGGCCCCCTTCCCTTCTTTCTCTCTTGTGTGTGTTCTCTTGCCCTCTCACCTTCTGCCATGGATGACACAGTAAGCAGGGCCTTGCCAGATGTGGACTCCTCAACCTTGGACTTTCTAGACTCCAGAACTATAAGAAATGAATCTCTGTTCTTATAAATTACTCAGTCTCAGGTATTCTATTTTGGAAGCACAGAACAGAATAAGACAGCTTTATTGAGGTATGATTGAGGGGAAAATTGTATATATTTAAGGTATACAGAAAGATGTTCAACATCACTAATAATCAGAAAATGCAAATCAAAATCACAGTGAGAGATTATTTCACACCTGTTAAGATGGCCATATAAAAAAGTAAGAAGATAACAATTGTTGGCAAGGATATGGGGGAAATGGACCCATATACACTGTTGGTGGGAATGTAAATTGGTGCTGCCATTATAGAAAATAGCCATTATAGAAAATAACTATCCTAGGCAAATTTTAAGGATATTCCTTTAAAAATTAAAAATAGAACTACCATTTGATTCAGCCATCACATTTTTAGGTATATATCCAAAGGAAATAAAATCAGTTGAAGAGATCACAATAGCCATGATGTGGAAGTAATTTGTGTTCACAATGGATGAATGGTTAAAGAAAATGTAAAATGTGGTGTGTGTATAGGTGTGTGTGTGTGTGTGTTTTCAGCCCTAAAAAAGAAGTTAATTCTGCCATTTTTGAAAATATGAATGAACATGTAAGATATTATGCTAAAAGAAATAAGCTAGATACAGAAAGACAAATATTGCATGATCTTACTTACATGTGGGATTGTAATAAGTCAGACTTGTAGAAAAAGAGGGTAGGGACTTGGAGGTGGGGGAAATATGGGGATTTTGGTCAGAGGATACAAACTTTCAGTTACAGCATGGTAACTATCACTAATAATAGTTAATGATAATATATTATATATATTTAAAATTTACTGAGAGTAGATCTTTTATATATATATATATTTATTATACTTTAAGTTCTAGGTTACATGTGCACAATGTGCAGGTTTGTTACATATGTACTTTAGTGTTCTCACCACACACACACACACACACACACACACACACACACAAAGGTAACAAAAATTTTCAGCTTTTTAAGCCGATAAATTCCTGTTTGCCTGTGTAAATGGTACTTTCAGGTTCTTACGACCTTGAGTGTTCTAATAATATGGTGCAGTGAACTGACAATAAGTCTAGAGTTTACTATTGAGCTCTGTATCAAGAACACTGATGTGTCCTGTGGCCAGCTCCTTCCACCAGATAATTCAGAGTTACCTGGGACTCCAATAAGGTAGCTATTCTCATTTGGGGAGTGGGATAGAAATCTCAAGGTGGTCTCCGGAGCCAATGACTCTACTAGCGGTCTTGGGAGTAGGGGAGAGTACAATGGGAAGACCCTGAGGCAAGAAAGTGATCAGAAGAAACTTCAAGGTCAGAGTCTCCTGGAAGGGTGATTTTGTTTTTAAATTGGCATTAATTAGAACTGATAAATACAGTCAAGTATCAGTCACTGAAGGTCCCTGTGCAATGGCGATGAGTACAGCTAGTTTTCCCCTAAGATCTTTCTCATGGTTTAAGCATCATTGGATGATTGTGACAGCAGTACAGATAACATATGCTGTAGAGAGAAAATCCACCGAAAGCTCTGGAAAGAAGTGGCAGTGGAGTCAACCCTGATGAAGACAGAGCAACTGCCAAGGGGACTAAGGAAAGGGTTGCAGGCAGTTTCCCTATTTCAGGGAAACGACGAGAGTGCAGGAGCAAGAAGCACCTGGTGAGCTCCAAGCAGCAGGCTGGTGTAGACAGTGGCAGCAGCCTACGTCTGAGAGAAGGGTCAAGATCTAAGACCTGGGGCAAAGGTAACTGGAAAAGAAGCTGATAGACTGAGAGAGGGCAAAGGTAGGTGCCACTCAGAAATGTTGGTATCCTAGAAAAGATGAGAACCTCAGTCTTGTGGTCACACAGCTGCTAGACAGAGAAACTAATAAATATCTGAGTTAAATGTTAAAGTGATCACTCTGTATCTAAAAACTAGAATTTGGGGGTGTGGAATTCTTCTCTTCTTTCTCCTCCTCCTCTGCCTTATTCTCTTCCTCCTCTTCTCCCTCTTCTCTCCTCTTCACCCTCCTCCTCCTTTGTCGTCATCAACTCCTCCTCCTCCTTCTCCTCCTTCTCCTTTTCCTTCTTCTCCTCCTTCTCCTTTGTCTTTTATTGCTTATCTGTGTATCTTAATTTTTCTATGTGAGAAAAAGTTTCATCAAATGGCCATAAAGGGGTCTTTGCTTACATTGATAGAAATATAATATCCTGACCTAAGGAATTCTACCACTGGATATAACAGCCACTCTCCAGCTTTCAGTGATCTACTTACCTCGGCACACAATTCTGACATCAGCTGTAAGAACAACATTGATAAATTAGAAGGAGAATGGGAGTAGGAAAAACATTTGACACCACCTGTTTTAAAGCAGTAGTTGAAAGAACTGAAATGTCTAGCCTGCCGAAGAGATCTCTGAGGGGTAAGAAGTGGAGCTATACCTAGTTCAAAGTAGGTGCTTATTTCATGGTTTTGAATAATCTGTAATTAAATAAATGACATCTCCCTTACTAGATTACAAACATTTTTATGAGAGGAAATTATGAACTGTATTTCCTTCTTTCCCTTCAGAGCCTATTACCAAGCTTTGTGTATAGTGAAGGTTCAAAAGGTATTTAGCAGTTGATTATATTTCATTCATAGCCCATCACAGTTCTCTGTAAATAGCTAGAGGAAGAGCCCAGGAGCTAGGAATTAAGTAAAGAGTGCTTTTTTATCTATGTGCTTTTCTAGATCACCCTTTCCCCCAGACTGCCCTGGCACTGAAGAACTTTTTGCCTTCTTATTTCCAATGACATCTGCGTCCAATCCACTAGACCTGCCTGCTGCTCCTCACATGCATGTCCCATCATCATGGATTGCTCTCCCATGGAGGTTCTAAACTGAAATTCCAATTGCATTTTAAATTAAATTTTCTAAGCCAATGGCCTGTCAATGCCTCTAACTACCATGCTTAAGACTAAATTCATCATCTTGTTATCCAGATTTATTTTTTTCATATTTCTGGTTACCATGCCATCACTGGCCTGCTAAATGGTGTTTAAAACCTCCAAGTCATCTCTTTTCCAAATCCAAATGCTCTGTTGACAAAAGCATCTTCTTTTTGCCATTGCATCATCTCTTCTATTTAAACTGTCGTCTCCATTCATACCCTCTTCACCATACTTCATACTCTTATTATCTACTTTCTAGATGATAATAATAGCATTTAATTTAACTCCTCAGTTTCCTCTTCACACCCCAACATATCTTTCACCTTGATTCCAGATTAGTGTTCTCAATGTCCCGTTCTGATTATTGTACTTTACTCACTAAAAATCATTCCTGACTCCCTTTAGGACTAAGTAAAATGTAAATCTTCTGGTTTGTTGCACAAGGCTTTTAACAAATTGATCCTAATCTGTTTTTACCAGCATGATTTCCAACAACTTTTATAAATCAGCCTTCTGCTTCAAACAATTTGTTCTACTCAAATACTGTCTATGCTTTTCAGCTACTCAATGTTTCCATTGTTCTTCTACCCTCAGACCCCAAATTAAACACCACCCCTGCCTTGCAGCCTGCTCTGATCTCCCCTCCCCTGAGTCAAAAAGTAAATTTCTCCTTCTCCAAATTTCCACATCACTTTCTCTCATGTCATAGTTACTGTTCCCTCATATTTTCATGGGAATGTATAAGTTTGTTTGATTTTTCATAACAAAACACACCTAATGTAATGACACCTTACATTATACATCCTTGTATTAGCCATATAGTCATTGATTTAAACTATTTATTGAGCACCGGTGATGGGGACGCAGTAATGAAAAGATGGGCTTGTCTTTACTTTCTCACACTTACAGTATTGATAAAATAGCATGGAACACTATTGATAAACAAATAAGTAACACATAGTTTATTAATTGAAATTAGGATGAATACTAAAAATATATAAAGTATACAGCACTGTATGGAGATATAGAGGGCAGATATATAAGATAATATTGTTTTAATACCCAAAATACCCTTTCAAAACAGAAGTGTATTCACTCTGGCTTAACAGTACTTGCTTATTTAATAGAAACTATTTTCCTTTATTTATAGCATGGTCTGGCTGTTATGAGTAAAGACAATGATATCTGAGGTACGGAATAGGAAACTAAATTTCCAGTCATCAGCAACCAAAACTGACTGGTTTTGCTGCCAAACTAAGGAAGAAGTATTGTTTTTTTCTTCCTTGTTTTTTTACTCTAGAGTAGCTATTTTTTGCTTTTACCAGTTGCATGGATCCATCAGTCGAGGCCAGTAATCTCCAACAAAATAAGAGGAACAAAACCATTAAGAGGCAAGTGATTCATCACTAAGCCTGATGCCAGCTGTAAGGGAAAAAGCCCTTTCTGACTTGGAGCTAGCGGGCACAATAGCACATTATTGCCAGAGGAGCTATGAGCTGAAATTTCTGAATGGACTTACCGCTAGTCTCAGCTGGCAGCTTACTACACATGCACAGGCATGTAAAGTCTTCAAACATACTTTTTCTCCCCAGAAAGGACACTGTTCCTAGTCTTTCTGTGTTTATTTAAAAACAAGGTTAGACTCTCATTTTTCTTTGCTCCCACTGAATTAATGCTTCATACTGCCAGAGTATAAAATTACCTTCTACCCTTTTTTAAACAAGAGCTTTCTTTTTCTCACACACAAGGTACTATATGTATTTTGGCACCTTTGATTGTCAGTAGAGGAACACTGAAAATCACAAATTGCAGGCAGTTAGTGATCATGTAAATGAAAGGAAGAGAGCCACCACCACAGCCACTTGCATAATGTGGCATGTGGATGAAAGAAGAACCCCTAGGACAGAAGGCAACGGTCCAGGTGAAGACTGCCTCCCTGGGAATGAAATCGCCTAACAGAATTACCCAGACAAACGTTACTAAGGAGAACTAGTTATCGTATGGCCTTGAATTGAAAGGAAAATTCAGTGAACTCATAAAAGCCATTGTTGCTGTGTCCTATAATTAAATGTTGTTTACACATCCTTAAGGACTATGAAAGATCGATAGGGCATATGGGAAATTTTCCATAGTGAGCCATAAATGTTGCCCCTGATACAAGGCGTTTAGTTTATAAAGGGTGGGGAGGGGTGGAAAAATAAAATATGCCTTGCCATGTATTTTTCCCTTTTTCCTGGGAAAAATAAATAATTTTTGTGGCAAGTATATTGGAGACATTGTTTATGAACAGTTCCTCTTCACATAAAGGTTACCTCTGTAAAGCTGCCAAGGTCGGCGCCCTGACGGGTTATCTGCCAAGTAAGTGCCAGTTGTGGAATCTACACCGTGGCAGGCGTGGAGGCAGGCTTCGCTCTCCCACCCTCCTTCTGAATCATCGTTCTTTGCTTCTTTGTACCAGAGTTGTCACTTTTCCCACTCTGTGCCCTTCCTTCTCATTGGTGGGATCTCTTCTCTTACATATGAGCTGAATGTTCCGTTGTTTGCCAGGAAGACAGACTTGCTGAATGCTGATTTCATGGAAGTCACACAAGAGAGGCAAACAGTACTTTTCCAAGTAATCTGCATAAAAAGTAACCTTACAAGGCATAAAGTGCTCAACTTGGCCCATGATGCATTTGTGAATTTTTAAAATGGATGATTGTTACATATATGTGTGTGCATTTGTATGTGTCTGTATGTATGTGATACGTATATGTATGTGCAATACAATATACTATATATACACAAAAGCATATATACGTGGATTTTTTTCCCTTAATATATACACATATACATATATACGTATATGTTTTTGTTTCCTTTTTTTGTTGGGCATTTTAAGTGGTTCTCTTTTCTTATCCAATAACTTTTTTCTCTTTTTAAAAGCACCACAAGAAAAGTACTACTGTAAACTAGCTGTTCAATTTCTTTAACCTCATCTCTAGTGTATTCAGACCACCTAATATCCACTCTCTAGGGTCTGATATGATGGAAAGGTGTATTTGAATTCTTGTATTTTGACATATAAAGCAAAAAGGGGTTATTCAGAAGAAGGCTGTTTTATTCAAAGATATTTTCCTAGTATACAAGCTATCCTCATAGTCATTTCAATTTTGCATTACTTTCTGCAGTAAAATGTTTAGCATATGTCATATTTAACTATAACCCTTGTGGCATTCATTGAAATAATTTTTATGTTGATGTTTTATAGGAATTAAAGAGAAGTTAAGTAATTACTTGTAGTAGGCTGTGTCTTTTTTTAACTCTAAACAGCTCCCTCAAGTGAACTGTCACTCACCTGTACATCTATCATTAAGGCGTATGTGCCTTGATAAACCCATAGGGCAAGCACCACTTGATGGTAATGACTTGTTTTTTTAGGCAGTGAGAAAGATTTCACAGTTGTATTTTGAATAATACAATGCTCATAGGTACAATTCTTCAAAACCCTAGAAAGCACAGAGATTGTTCATAATGAAAAGCATCCCTTTTTAAACCTTAATATCAATTAATCTTCTATATTGTGCAAACACACAAACTTGTCTAATTTTTTACTAATGTTGCACATCTTAATGAAGAAGTAAAGTCACCAAAATTTGTTTTATTTAATAGATTGTATGCTTCCATACTTTTGACACTTACCAAAAAAACAAAATCACAGAGGCAGCTAGCATCACAAAAGGGAGAAGCATATTTGCTGAAAAATTCGGTAACCAGCTGATAATAAGGTGCAAAGTGTGACCAGGACAACCATTGAGAAATGAAATATCTATATTCATAATGTGATTACACTATAGACTGTTTTATATATGATTACTCATTTTTTCCTACTGCTTTCATTAATGAAACCAGTAGACGTAATCAAAATTAAATCTGATAGGAAGTCAGATAACTCAGAATTTGTAATGGGAAATAAATGTGAATTCATCTGTTCAGTTCAGCTCAGATCTACAAACAACTTAGAGCTGTTTGGCACTCTGTTCTCAATTTTGGCAGAGATTTGAAAGATTGAATGGAGATGAATTCTTAATGGCTTCCTAACATTTTGGTGGGGGCTTTTTCCAGAAAGAGATTGAGACACAAGAATTACAAGAACAGAATGAGAGAATTGGGTACTTTGGGGCTTCTCCCTGTCAGGATGGAGACATAGGAAGTCAGTTCTTGGCAGACATGAATCTGCATTAGACTTAGATGAAAGCAAAAGCATTGCCAATAGAAATTCTTTTTTCTTTCTTGGATTTCAGCTTTTATTGTAGATACAGAGAGTACATGTGCATATTTGTTACATGAGAATATTGCACGATGCTGAGGTTTGGAGTACGGATCCTGTCACCCTGGTAGCGAACATAGTACCCGATAGGTCGGTTTTGTTTGTTTGTTTTGTTTTTGTTTGTTTGTTTGTTTTTTGAGACGGAGTCTTGCTCTGTCGCCCAGGCTGGAGTTCAGTGGCGCGATCTCGGCTCACTGCAAGCTGTGCCTTCCGGGTTCACGCCATTCTTCCGCCTCAGCCTCCTGAATAGCTGGGACTACAGGCGCCTGCCACCACGCCCGGCTAAATTTTTTGTATTTTTAGTAGAGATGGTGTACAGGATGGTCTCAATCTCCTGACTTCGTGATCCGCCCACCTCGTACTCCCAAAGTGTTGGGATTACAGGCGTGAGCCACCGCACCCAGCCGATAGGTTGTTTTTTAACCCACCTCCCTCCTCTACCCTCTAGTAGTCCACAGTGTCTATTGTTTTCTTATTTATGTCCATGTGTACTCAATGCCTAGCTCCCATTTATAAGTAAGAACATATGGTAATTGGTTTTCTGTTCCTGCATTAATTTGTTTAGGATTATGGCCTCCAGCTCCATGCATATTGCTGCAAAGGACATGATTTTACTTTTTTATGGTTGCATAGTAGTCCATGGTATATTTGTACCACATTTCTTTATCCAATCAACAGTTGATGGGCACCTGGGTTGATTCCATGTCTTTGCTATTGTGAATCATGCTGTGATTAACATATAAGTGCCTATGTCTTTTTGGTAGAATAATTTATTTTCTTTTGGGTATATACCCAGTAATGGGATTAATGGATTGAATGATAGCTCTGTTTTAAGTTCTTTGAAAAATTGCCAGAATACTTTCCACAATGGCTGAGCTAATTTACATTGTAACCAGCAGCGGATAAGCATTCCCTTTTCCCCGCAGCCTTGCCAGCATCTGTTGTTTTTTGACTTTTTAGAAATAGCTATTCTGATTGTTACGAGTTGATATCTCATCATGGTTTTGATCTGCATTTCTCTGATGATTATTGATTCTAAGCATTTTTTTCATCTTTGTTGACCACTTGAATGTTCATGTCCTTTACCCATTTTTTAATGGGATTATTTGTGTTTTGTTGATTGATTTGTTTAAGTTCCCTATAGATTCTGGATACCAGGTCTTTGTCGGATGAATGGTTTGTGAATATCTTCTCCCATTCTGTAGGCTGTCTGTTTGCTCTGCTGATAGTTTCTTTTGCTGTGCATAAGACCTTTAGTCTAATTAGGTTCCACTTGTCTATTTTTGGTTTTGTTGCCGTTGCTTTTGGAGACTTAGACAAAAATTCCTTGCCAAGGCTGATGTCAAAAAGAGTATTTTCTAGGTTTTCTTCCAGGATTTTTATAGTTTGAGGTCTTACACTTAAATCTTTAATCTATTTTGAGTTAATTTATATATATATATACATATATATACACATATATATACACACACACACATATATATATATATATATATATCAAAAGGTAGGGGTCCAGCTTCTTTTTTCTGCATATGGCTAGCCAGTTATTCCAGCAAAATTTATTGAATAGTCTTTTCCTCATTGCTTGTTTTTGACAACCTTGTCAAAGATCAGATGGTTGTAGGTGTGCAGCTTTATTTCTGAGTTTTCTATTATGTTCCATTGGTCCACGTGTCTGTTTTTGTACCAGTACCAAGCTGTTTTGATTACTGTGGCTTTATGGTATAGTTTGAAGTTAGGTGGTGTGATGCCTCTGGTTTTGTTCTTTTTACTTAAGATTGCTTTACCTATTCAGGCTCTTTTTTGGTTCCATATGAATTTTAGAATAGTTTTTTTTTTTTTTTCTAATTCTGTGAGAACGACATTGGTAGCTTGCTAGAAATAGCATTGAATCTGTACATTGCTTTGTACATCATACCATTTTAATAATACTGATTTTTCCTATCCATGAGCATGGAATGTTTTTTCATGTTTGTGCCACCTCTGATTTCTTTCAGCAGTTGTTTTGTGGCTCTCCTTGTAGAGATCTTTTATCTCCTTAGTTAGCTGTATTCCTAGGTATTTCATTTTCTTTGAGGGTATTGTAAGTGGGATTGTGTTCTTGATTTCATTGTCAGCCTGGAAGTTATTGATGTATAGAAATGCTACTGATTTTTGCACGTTAATTTTGTATCTTGAAACTTTGCTAAAGTTGTTTATAAATTTTAAGAGCCATTTCTTTTGAACAAAGGGCATTTTTGGGGGGAGCATCTTCTGAGACTGCTTTACATATTTAAGGATATATTTTCCTGAGTCTTCTTAGGCTAAGATATATTTTTTTTCTTTCTGATCAATTTCAAATGGAAATCACATTGACATGTTATGGTATTTAATGCTATGCTATGAATCTTTAGGTGGTAACTTTTTTTTAATTTTAAAAAGGTAAAATATCATGTGCTAGATGAAACATCCCCTGCCCAGTTTGTATATTTTGGAAAGTTATTTTAAAATAAGAATCAGTACAAATCATAAATTCTATAATGAGAATATCTTTCCTTGTGTAACCACATTTTTCCTTTAATCAGTTTAGTTCTATTCTCCCCCAAGTCTCTATGCCAGTGCATTCTCTTGTTGCTTCTTCCAAATCCAGCTGCAGCTGTCTTTATCTGTGCTGTCCAATATGGAAATCACTAGCAACAGGAGGCTATTGAGCACCTCAAATGTGACTAGTCTGAGTTGACTTGTGATATGAATATAAAACACACTAAATTTGAAGAGGCAATATGTAAACATAATGAAAACATCTCAATAAGATTTTTAAATTGATTACATGTTGAAATGATAATATTTTAAATAAGTTGTATTAAACTAAATATACTAAATATACTTTTAGAATAAACTTTACCTGTGTATTTTTAAAAATGTGGCTACTAGAAAATTTGAAATTACACACGAGTAGCTCATGTAATGTATCTATTAGACAGTGCTACCCTATATAGCTAGCAGTCAATATAGTTGCAAATACAGTTTGTATGTTTTATGCAGTCCACAGAGGTTCTTTCACCTGGGAGAAAGTGTGAGGATCATATTAGACAGAGTTGCTTGACCACCAAACTGTGGCCCTAATGTCAATAGTAGATGCCCAGAGATGGTGAGTAATTAGCTCCTATTCACACAGCCTGTGACAAAAGAAGGTATGTCTGACTCCAAAATAGATGCTTTTAACCATGTAACTGCACTGCCTTTCAGTGCATGAATTATGTACAACAAAGCCAGATGGCACATGGATTCTAAATTTGCAAAACATTTCATCTGCCTAGTAAAAAGTGTGAACAAGAAGAGAAGGCATGATTAGTCACCCTTTAATATAAAAACGTTGAACTGCACTAGAGGTGCCCTTTTTCTCAAACATAGAACAAGAACCTTGACAAAAATATGTAGCTCAAATAAACATTGAGTTTTAACAGAATAATAAATCTATGAACCAAAAGAATATAATGCAGTTTAAAAACATGAAACTACAGATAAGTTACTGATTTAAAAATTTGTCTTTTCTTTCTATTATCAAAAACTTTGAAAAGTATTTATTTCCGTCTGTATGCTTCTAAAATATTTATGTTTATCCACAAATACTATTGTGTAAATTTCATACAGTTTTGTCTTCAAATGTGTCTTTTATGTCTGCCTGTTTTGTCTTTGAGAATTTCTACAAAAATTGACATAGACTGCATTATTTTTTTTCCTTTTAGCCATGGAGTCCATCTGTTGTCATTTATAAAGTCAGGGGCAATTAACAGAAAGCTCTAGGATGAAACTTTATTGGAACTAGGGGGGACTGTTTTGATTATTCCTTGAATATTTTGCTCTTTTGAACAAATATACCTGGCTTAATATAAATTAGCAGCTGGTCAGTGCATGACACAATAAAATCATAACATATTCCGCCCACAAACGAACAGATTGCATTTTAGATAGCGAAAAAGGCACTCAGACTTACTAATTAACTTTTTAATGTCAGAAAAAAAATTAGCATCTTTTGTAAAGGCTGCATTAAATGTGCTTTTAAAGTAAATAAAATTAAAATTGATTTATATATTCTAATAGAGATACTTATTTTTCTATATTGAAGAGAAAGTTCCTTCTGGAGTCTAAATTGTTTTCAATGTTTTTGTGTATGTTGTCTTCATTCTCCATCGTTCAATCCTCTGCCACTAAATTATACTGCCTTTAATATATAGGCCATTTTATACATACATATTATATATGTATAAATTTTTATATTCTCTAAGAATCAATACATGAGCAACCATAAAAATGCTTCCTAGGAATGTATGACTGAATGCATATGTGAATAAATGATTGAAACAAATGACATAAACAATAAGGAGTCCTTGTTTTGCATGTGCTTGGAGATTATTCCATGTCAAGTCACAAAAGCTATACAGTATTACCTTATGTGAATCAAAGCTATTATTTATAGAATCCATTCTTTATTGTTAAGTATTATGGTGGTTTCTAAACTTTGGCGTTGCAAACCATTCTGCGATGTGTAATTTGCGAATATAACTTCTCACTTATAAAAGCAAACCTACATGATAAATATCTACACGCAGAATAACTTGCCAAAGAGTTGACGTGTTTCTAAGTGTGTGAACTATCAATTTTTTCTCCTATCATCAAGGTATGAGAGTGGCTATTTTCCAGTTGCCTAACACACTGAATGTGTTTTCTAACTTGATCTTTGCCAATCAGTTAGGTCAAACAATGATACCTCAGTGTCGTTTTACTTTGTAGTTCTTTTGTACTGAGTAAAGTTGATAACCTTTTTTATGTTTAAAAGCCATTTGTATTTCCTATTCTGTTACCTGGCTGGTCATATGTTCATTCTGTCAATTCTTTGCTCACACTGATGAAGGTAAAATTTTGTTGTGGCACAGAAAATAAGTGGGTAGAGAACTTTTATCTGTGATGCGAATTGCAAATATTGTTTTTCCTTTTGTCATTTGTCTTTTTACTTTGCCAATGGTCTTTTTCACATGGAAAAAAATTCTATGCTTTCCTTTTGTATCTTGTTTTGTGTTGTATTTAGAAAGACTATCCTCAGTACGAAATTATGTTTACAATTTTCTCCTAAGGTTTTTAGAGTATGCTAATGGTTTTATTTTTTTAAATATTTAGTTATCTTGAAATTTACCCTGATGTAAGGTATGGATTCAAGACTTCTTGTTCTGTTTTTGTTTGTTTGTTTGTTTTTCAGATGAGTATCCAGTTGTCACAACACCATTTGAACAATAATTCATCTTTTTAATCTACCATTTAAGATGACATATTTATCACACAAGTTCCCATTTGGGTTCTTCATTGTATGGTTCCTAGTTCAACCTTGCCTCTAATTCTTGGAAAAAATTCAGATCAAAGGAATGTCATGAAAACAGTTTGTATAGTGTATTTCAGTTGTTGCAGACAAAGGGTTTAGAACAGGTTTGCCATTCACCATTTTCTGAGGTTGGCAGATGTGGGGTCCACTCTGTTTCTACCCCTGTTTTGACTCTAATGCTTTGCCAGTGCCTTCACCACTTTCGGGATTTAGGGGGTTTGTTGCTGCTTAATTTTCCAAAACTCCCTGGTATCTGTAATTTTCATTTTTTATTTTCTTTGTTGCTTTTGAATGGTTTATAGGCAGAGAAAAAGAGAAATACCTGAACTTACCTGGCCATCTTTAAAAGTATATTTAACTTTCTATGTCTTTATGTGTATCTTCTGTAGGCAACATATAACCCAACAGTTTCTCTTAACTCTGTGTGTGGAGATAAAGGGAAGGTTAGTCTACTTACGTTTATTGGGAATACTGATACTGATACATTTAACCTTAATTTGTTTCCTGTCTTCTTGCCTTCTAGTGTCATTTTTTATTGTATTTTTTCCTCCTGTACAGACTTGAGTGTTATGTACTCTGTTTTTGTTATTAACGGGTATTCTTTAAAAATGCCATGCATATTTAGTTTAATAAGATCAAAGTTAATCAGTGCCTATCTTCTTTTTAACACACACTTAATACATAGGGTTTAACTTCTATAGCACGTTCCTATGTAATGTAACACCTGTTTCCAGTAACACGTTATATATATATATATATATATATATATATATATATATATATGTTTGTGTGTGTGTGTGTGTGTATATATATATATAACAAGTTGTCTACTAATCCCACAAGTTAGAAATTATTATGGTTTATCACTTGATGCTAACCAACATGTTTTTCATTTCTTAACTTTTAGTTTCTATTTGGATCTTAAATTTTCTTTAGTCTGAGCTCAATTTATTTTGTCTTCTATCTGTAATATTTCCTCATAAGAATGTATACTTACAATAAACTGCCTTTGTTTGTTGGAATTGCTCAGTCTTGAGAGTGAGTTTGCTGAGTAAACAATTCCTGATTGTAGTTATTTTCTCTAAGTTCTATTAAGATAACACTGTAACGTATTCTGGCTTTTATTTTTGCTTTTGAAACACCTTCAGTGAATCCAGCTGACAGTACGTTATAGGTAATGTGTCTTTCTTCTCTGGTTGTTTCTACTATCTTCTCTTTATCTTTGGAGTTTTGCTGTTTGCTAAACGTGTGTAGACTTGGATTTGTTTTTATTTATCCTTACAGGATTTGGGATGCTTTCTGAATCTGACAATCTTAATTCTTGGGATTCTCAGCCACTCTTAAAATATTATTTCTTCCCATGTTTGCATTTCTATTCTTCTGAAACTCGGAGTAGATGTGTGCAACTTTTTCTCATTATAGCCTCCATGTGTTCTAACATGTCTTCTATTTTCCTTCTCTTTGTGTCTCTTTGCTGAATCTAAATAAATTTCTTTAAATCTATCCTTCAGTTTCAGGGATTTTTTTCTGAATATCCTGGTTTGTTCTTCAGATTTGTTTTGTTATTTTAAATCTTATTACTTGTTTATGTTGTGGCTTCATGAACTTTCCATTCATAAATTATTTTGTAATCTCTTTCTGATCTTGAGACTATCTGAGTCATTGGGGTCTAAATTTGCTAGGTTTCTTCTACCGACTCTTGTTCATAGTAGCTTATGTCCTCTTGTGTTTTGAAATGATAAATTGTTAGGTCATTTTTCCTCCTGGCCTGCATCTAAGAAAATTGGGTTGGACTGTAGATGAGGATGTATTATTTCAATAAAAAGTTCTTGTCAGCCTATCTTTCTCATAACAAATCTTTCATACTTTTCTATCCCTTAACTCTTCGTGTTAGTCACTCAGTAATTTCCTTATATCTATTTCCCAATTTACTAATTCTTTTTTCAGCTATTTAATCTGCTCTCCAACTACCCACTGAGTTTTTTATATTATATATTATGTTTATGTAAAATATTTATATTATATTATCTTCTTGAGAAAGGGTCTTACTCTATTGCCCTGTCTAAAGTGTGGTGGGGGCATGATCATAGCTCACTACAACCTTGAACTCATGGCTCACAGGATCCTTCTACTTTAGCCTCCTGAGTAACTAGGACCACAGGCACATGCCACCATGTCAAGCTAGTTTCTTTTATTTTAAAAAATTTTTTGTATAGATGGAGTCTCACTATGTCATCCACACTGGTCTTAAACTGCTGGCCTCAAGCGATTCTCCCACCTCAGCCTTCCAAAGTGCTGAGATTACAAGCACAAACCACTGGACCTGGACTTCTTTATTTTAAATTAAATAACTTATTTTTCATTTAAAGAAATTCATTGATTATGTTTTAAGTACTCCTATTTTCACACTGCCTACATTTTTTCACACTGCCTATTTTGTTTCTATTGTTTTAAAAATTCCTTTATTGCATTTTAAACAAAATATTAGTACATATTTATTTTATATATAAATGCACACACTGGAATTCTTGAAATGTTGCTGTCTCTTTCAATGAGGCAAATTTTACTCTGCAGTTATTTAAGAAATCATGGGAAATAATAAACAATAATTGAAGAATTGCCTCTGCTATTACTATGTTGCTTCTACCATTTAAAGTTTTGACAGAAGTTAGAGCAGACAACTGAATTACTTGATAATAATACCTCATTCTTTCATCAGCTAGATAATATCTGAAATATTTCACCTATATTTTTTGGGCAGTTGCTAATTGTAGGACAGTATGATATTCAACCTTTCATTGATCAGGCTGGATGTTGTGAGGTATATTGAAATCATGCTTTAATACAGCTTTACCGTTGTTCCAGTGTCTCCGATATCACTTCTTGTGTCAGTACACACTGCTGCAGATTCTAATTGCATTCCCTTATTATCTTTACAGATATTAGGAATGAGGTATTTAGCTTCATGCATGGCACTACAAAGTAATGCAAATATAAAGAAATTCTCTTCCCCCCAACTGATGAATAGTTATTCCTCCTTTTACCTGAAGTTTTAAAAATTACATCTACCTGGTCTGAGACACTTGGATCATTTTTGTGTAATGAAATCTGGACAGTTTCTACAACAGGTCTGTTTTATTTTCTAGATGCTGGAGGCTTTTGAGTTATTTTTTCATTTCCTGTTATAGCTTCTCCTTTACTCCTGAGACTTGTTGAATGGCCTCCATTAAATTTTTATTGGTGTCCTTGATAATTTAATATTGGGCTGTATTACAGCTACTTCGTTTTTGATGTCAGCTATTTTAAATTAGTGCCACCATCTTGATCTCTAATTCTCATGAATTCTGTCAACAAATGATAATCTATTTTATAGTCCTCAATATTATTTTTGGTAAATAATAACATTCCTACTCTGCAAAGGCATGTGAAATTGGAACCCCTGGTTCTATTAATTCTAAACGTCCACTATTGATCTATGCTATAAACTTGCATTGTCCAATAATGTAGTCATTAGTCACATGTGGCTATTTAAATTCAAATTTAACCAGAATAAATTAAATTAAAAATTCAATTTCTCAGGTACGCTAGCCACATTTTAAGGGCTCAAGAGCCATGTGTGGCTGATGACTACCATATGGGACAATGCAGGTATAGAGTGTTTTCATCACTGCAGAGAGTGTTATTGAATAGATAAGACCCATTCGATTCAAGGATCTCAACTGCAACTCTCAGAGTGAAAGCAAAATATTTGTAAATAATACTTCAAAAAGCTTAATCAGTCAGATCATCATGCCCAGGTTCTCTTCTATTTAAACATATGACCTAGTCAATTTTATTAGTTGTGTAAGTAGGAAACAGTGCAATATAAACTTTGTATCTTGTTCCATTTATTGCTTTTGTAATAAAATCAGACTTCAGAGTGAATTCTAATGAATCAGGTGTGATCATACAAAGTACTAGCTATTGTCTTTTTTAAAGCAGTGTTGATCCAATGAAGAGTTTGAAATATGTCAGCCTTACAATACATTCCTAAATGAAGTCATATCTAAACTATCGTACCTTTGTAGTCATTCAAAATAATACTTTTTAAAGCCTCTTTTAAAGTGGTATTGAAAGATTCTATTAATATGGAATAATCTCTAGAAATTTTTCATTTAGTACCACTACATTATCCAACATCATCTTGTTAATAACTTTATCTCTAGAAATTTTTACATGTTAAAAATTAAAACTGAATAATCTTTCCAAAGCCAATGTGTGACTGTATTTCACAATCTCTTATAAAGAAGAAAGTGATGTCGAACTTGTCTGCTTGGTAACACCAATTTCTTTTACTCATTGCTGTATGGTATGAACTATTTGTTCAGTAAACCTCACTCCCAGATTAATGTTGTGGCAGAAATCCTGATGTTATATATATATATATATGTGTATGTATATATATATATATGTGTGTGTGTATATATATATATATGTATATATATAATTTTTTTTTTTTTGCAGGCATTGTAATATCACAGTCTGACTTTTTGGATGCTTCAGCATCCACCAAGTTTAAAGTATGAGATGACATTTTTTGCACGTATATTGTGTTAAGACATTTTCCTTTAGTCATTCCTAATTGTATTGCCCCAACAATGCCCATTCCAAGAAATACCTCCTATAAAGGGGTTACAGAAGCTCCATTGTTTGCTAGGACATCAGTTCGTTAACACCATCTACTGCAAACAAAAATTACAAAGGAACTGTGTATCTTAGAACTAGTCAGCTGGAAAGAGATGTTTTGACTGAACCATCTATTATTCACTTGTAGCCATTTCTTTTTTTTTTTTTTTTTTTTTTGAGACAGAGCCTCGCTCTGTCGCCCAAGCTGGAGTGCAGTGGCCTGATCTCGGCTCACTGCAAGCTCCGCCGCCTGGCTTCATGCCATTCTCCTGCCTCAGCCTCCCAAGTAGCTGGGACTACAAGCACCCTCCACCACGCTCGGCCGATTTTTTGTATTTTTAGTAGAGACGGAGTTTCACCGTGTTAGCCAGGATGGTCTCGATCTCCTGACCTCGTGATCCGCCCGCCTCAGTCCCAAAGTGCTGGGTTACAGGCGTGAGCCACTGCGCCCGGCCGTAGCCATTTCTTTATCAGAGAAAGCAACTTATCTTCTAAGAGAGTATGTGGGAATTCCACCGCTGCAGCAGCTTTCTTTCTATTGTGACTATCAAGGCATGAACAGAGACCATGAAGATTTTGTTTCATTGATCACTGTGACTATCACGGCAGTGTCATCTGACTATACTACAATAGAGCCATCCACAAACCTGGCCAGTCTTCCAGCAGGTGTTCCTGGTTTGCTATGGCTGAATTTCACAGCCACATTTCTAGACACTGTCCCCTCTCTCTGCAGTACATCCACCTCCATAAGTGAGTGTACAGGATTCCACCCTGGCAGGCAGAGAGTTGGTCCTTAGTGGGTGGAGTCACAGGAACCGCCCCTATAAAGTACTTAAGTATGATTCTTAAGGTCTTTTGAATTATTCTAATATTTCTGGATCTTGTTGCAAAATTCCTGTATTTACTTTTGATAATTCTCTTTTGTAGTTGTTTGTTTTTTTCTATTGTGTGTATTTTTTAATTGGGGGTATAACTTGAGTGCATGGGTGTGTGTGTGCATGCAAATGTGTAAGAGAAAGTGTATATCCTATGGAACTTGAATTGTGAAAATGTCCAAGCACCTGGGTATTAATAAATCCTGTACCAGTTTTTGTATTAATTTTATTTATTTCTAATATTCTACTGGGGCTACTCTTGCTGTTCCTTCAGTTGCTCAGTAAAAAACATCACTATCTCCACATTTGATTTTATTCATGTTCAAGCTTGTGCTACCCAGAAATTGAGTCTGAATTATAATATTCAATCAAATAAATGTGCTATTCTGAAAAAGGAAAAACAAAAGGAAAGAGAGGGGAGAAGGAGGAGGAGGAAGAGAAAAAGAAGGAAAGAGGGATGGGGATAAAAGGGAGGAAGGAAAGAAGGGAGGGAAGCAGGGAGGGTTGGAGGGAGGGAGGGAAGAAGAGCTTGATCATTTTTTTCCATGGAACAAATATGGCCTTACATTGACAGCTACTCTTGCTGTGAACACTATATCATTAAACTAGTTTCCTCTCCTTTAGAAAGAAAAAAAATCTACTTAATAATGGTCATTGGTTTATCTTTACATAATAATGAATAATAAACCTACTAGTTACTAGGCTCCTCTTGGATACTATGTAGAGGTAGTACAGTCTGTTTTTCTAGATTGTGAGCTTTAGAGAATAGGTCAGTTCTCCCTTCCCGGCTCACTTTGATCCCAGGCCCCCTTTCTCATGCCCCGTGCTTCTCAATTCCCACAAATTCCATTTGTATCAGCACTTGTTTATTGCTTTGGTTTAACTTCTTTTTTTCTGGCACTTAGAATTTACCTGTCTCCTGGCCGGGCAAGGTGGCTCACGCCTGTAATCCCAGCACTTTGGGAGGCCGAGACGGGCGGATCACGAGGTCAGGAGATCGAAACCATCCCGGCTGACAGGGTGAAACCCCGTCTCTACTAAAAATACAAAAATTAGCCGGGCATGGTGGCGCGCGCCTGTAGTCCCAGCTACTCGGGAGGCTGAGGCAGGAGAATGGCGTGAACCCGGGAGGCGGAGCTTGCAGTGAGTCGAGATCGCGCCACTGCGCTCCAGCCTGGGCGACAGAGCGAAACTCCGTCCCAAAAAAAAAAAAAAAAAAAAAAACAAAAAAAAAAAAAAGAATTTACCTGTCTCCTTAAGTTCAACTCTGGATTGTTTTAGTTTTAAAAATTTTATGGAAAATGTTTCTAAGAGTATTCATCATTTATTTTACAACAATTTTTTGTGAAGACCGTTCAGCATAAATTATGGATCTATTGACAAAACATTAATTTTTCAGAATTCAAAATGTTGATATTGGGGGAAAGGTAAAATCAGGAAACAGAAAATAAAAACAAGCCTTGCAAAACATCACTATTATTTACAAGTTGATTACATCTTCTGATTGTCTTCAATAGAGCATTTTTCTTCAATGGATACTAAAAACAAGCACCATATCAATTTTTTTTAGAACTTAAGCCTCAAAGCTTTTATTAGATCTGACTTAGACTGACCGCAAATATTTTCCAAAAACCCTCCCCACTTAGGCTGACATTTTGTTTTATTTTAGGTGCTTCTCTAGTTTTTTCACTTTTTTTCATTATTTCTTGTATTTTTCTTTATCACATTGCCTTTTGCAAATATGAACATTGTCAGCCTTTATGAATATAATTTAATTTTAAACCCACCTAATAGATTCTTAATATTGTGTCTTTGCTAGCTTTGTATTTTAACATTGACCAACTGTCTTATATCAGAAATCCAGAAAGTTGGGGGATGATGAGAAAAATATGGTAGCAGGAGGTCGTTAAGCCTGTTCCCTCAACACGTACACATACCCATATGCACACACACATGTGCATATATTCACAAATAGCAGAACATACAAAAGGCCTGCCGAGCTCAACTCTAGTTTTCCCATCTGTTTCATTCAAAGTCAATGGGAGGAAAAAGCAATTAAAAAAATTAAAACAAATTTACCATCATGGTAAATATCCACCTCTTATTTGTCTCCTGAGGCTATTTCCCCACGGTAAAATCAGTCACACCACTGAAGAATAAATAGAACCCATGAGATTTCTTTAAACTAACTCAGTGTTATAAAATAACAAGTAGAGAGGTGTAGCAATCATTTTAATATGCCTTCTGCTGCAGAAAGAGAAGAACCCTCATGCTGAGCCAGAAGCCAATGTTTTTAATAATTTGAGAAATATTTCTTGAGAGACCAAGCATTTATATTCACTAACTTTCTACACTAAAGCCTTTATCTTTAGTAATTGTTAATATACTTTTCAACTTCTTAACTTCCTTCCTTGTTTTATCACATTTCTGCCTTACTTCACTGTTTTTTTGTTTTTGTTTTTGTTTTTAGGGTGGGGTGAGTTGTTTCAGGATTTAAAAAAAATCTCACATAAGTTCTATTTTCCCAGACTGCATTATTTTTGTTGACTCCTCCTGAAGCCTTTTCAGCTTTACTTCACTCATAACACTTGGCCTCATAGTTGGACAACTACACTTGCTAAGGTTATGAGCCATATTAAGGATTCCTATTTGTTTCCCAATATTCAGACACTCCCTCAACAGCAGGGGGATGCAGAAGGCTGATGAGATAGGCTTGTAAATAGGTACAATTCCACAGTTCAGAATGGTAAAGGAGAAAGAGGGGGACAGATGGAGGTGAGGAGTGCTGCGAGAACATAGCAGGAGTACAAATTTAGTTGTATCTCCTTAGGTTAAATCATGAATTTGCACATCTCTAATTTTTAATGAGAGCTTTAAACTTATACCATCTTAATCTTTACCTAAAACTCAAAGGTTTTCCTATGCCTCTTGCCCAGGAGAGGCTTGTAAGTAGTGGATGATGGAATTGTGAATTCCGCAATTCACAATGATGATACGCTTTGTTAATCATCCATTATTTTTTGAAGTCTTCAGCTTCGTTTTCTATGGTGACTCTTTCTATTCCATCTTCAAAAATGCTTAATTGTTCCTGTACAAAAAAAAAAAAAAACCAACAAAAACTTTCATTAAATATACCTCCCTCTTTTTCTCCTAGTCTCACTCTCTTCTTACTTTCTTTATAGGACTACAGTAACCAAAACAGCATGGTACTGATACAAAGCCAGACACATAGACCAATAGAACAGAGTAGAGAGCCCAAAAATAAGGCCACACACCTAAAACTATCTGATCTTCAACAAAGCTGACAAAAACAAGCAATGGGGAAAGGATTCCCTGTTCAATAAATGGTCCTGGGATAACTGGTTAGCCATATGCGGAAGATTCAAACTGGACTCCTTCCTTACATTATATATGAAAATCAACTGAAGATGGATTAAAAACTTAAATGTAAAACTCCAAATTATAAAAACCCTGAAAAACAACTTAGGCAATATCATTCTGGACATAGAAACAGGCAAGATGCCAAAAGCAAGTTAAACAGAAGCAAAGATTAACAAATGAAATCTAACTAAGCAAGAGCTTTTGCACAGCAAAAGAAACTATCATCTGACTAAACCAACAACCTACAGAAAAGTAGAAAATATTTGCAAACTATGCATCTGACAAAGTTCTAATATCCAGCATCTATAAGAAACTTGTTTACAAGAAAAAAAAAACCTGTTAAAAAGTGGGCAAAGGACATGAAGATAAACTTTTCAAAAGAAGACATACATGTGGTCAACAAGCATATGAAATAAAGCACAACGTCACTGATAATTAGAAAAATACAAATCAAAACCACAATGAGATACTGTATTAGTACCTTCTCACGCTGCTATAAAGAAATACCCAAGACTGGGTAATTTATAAAGAAAAGAAGTTTGATTGACTCACAGTTCTGCATGGCTGTGGAGGCCTCAGGAAACTTAAAATCCTGGTGGAAGACACCTCTTCACAGGGTGGCAGGAGAGAGAATGAGCTCCAGCAGGGAAAATGCTAGATGCTTATAAAATCATCAGATATCATGATAACTCACTCACTATCAGGAGAACAGCATGGGGGAAACCGCCCCCATAATTCAATTACCTCCTACTGGGTCCCTCCTATGATGTGGGGATTGTGGGGATTACAAATCAAGATGATATTTGGGTGGGGACAAAGCCAACCATATCAGATACCATCTCACACCAGTCAGAATGGCTCTTATTAAAAAGTCAAAAAATAACAGGTGCTGGCAAGGTTGCAGAGAAAAAGCAATGCTTATGCACTGTTGGTCAGAGCATAAATTAGTTCAACCACTGTGGAAAGCAGTGTGGTGATTTCTCAAAGAGCTGAAAACAGAACTACCATCCAACCCAGCAATTCCACTACTGGGTACATTCCCGAAGGAATATAAATTGTTCTATTATAAATATACATGCATGCATATGTTCATTGCAGCACTATTCACAACAGCAAAGACATAGAATCAACCTAAATACCCATCAGTGATAGACCAGATAAAGAAAATGTGGCACATATGCACCAGGGAATACTATGCAGCCATAAAAAAGAATGAGTTCATATCCTTTGCAGGAAAATGAATGGAGCTGGAGGCTATAATTCTTAGCAAACTAATTCAGGAACGGAAAACCAAATACCACATGTTCTAACTTATAAGTGGAAGCTAAATGATGAGAACACATGGACACCTAGAGAGGAACAACAGACACTGCAGCCTACCAGAGGGTGGAGGATGGGAGGAGGGAGAGGATCAGGAAAAAAATAACTAATGAGTTTAATACCTGAGTGACAAAATAATCTGTACAACAACCACCCTGACATGAGTTTACCTATATAACAAACCTGTATCCCTGAACTTAAAAAACTTAAAAATTCATAGAATACAAAGCAATTTTATCAAATAAAATATTGTTTTATTTAAAAAGTGAAGTTATTGACAATGGTCAACATTCCTGCCTCTGCTTACTGAACTCTGCAGCACTCACCAGCATACTGAAATCTGACTTCCACTCTCAAAGGCTCTACCTACACTTCTTTGTCAAAAGTCAACAATGACATTCTAAACTAATGCCCAGTGACCTCTCCTCAACCCTTCCTCCATTGACTTCAGTTGAGATTTGGGAAGGTTGAAGATATTTTTCCCTTGACTTCTTGCCCACAACTCTCAGTCCACTTAGCCACTCAGTCTTTGGAGCTTGGATTAAGACTATTTATATCATTGGCATGGTGTTCTATTGAGTTCCTAGTCTTTTTCCTATTGATTTGAATGAGATCCCTATATATTTTAAAAATAGCATACAGTCTTACATGAGTTGCAAATATTTCTTTTTCATCTGCCAAAAGAATGGAAACATCTTGTATTTGTAAGAGAGAAAATCTTTAAGATAGAAGGAACTTGAATCTCTGGATCAATATGTAGAAGACCTACTGATTGGAAGTGCCCATAATGGGATACAATGTGACCAAAATATTAATGGTTATTAACACAAGTCATTGAAATCTGGTATTTATGTGCTACAGAAGCTTTCATCACCTTAATCTATCAAGAGGGACTAAGATCACCTAGATATTGTAGAGAGAGAAGAGAAGTGAACTAAGAACTTTAACGTTTTATAGTCAGATAGTAGAGGAGAAAGAGCCCCCAAAATGTGGATTAATAATTTCCACTAAGATAAGAATGAAACTTAAAAAAATGCAATATTACTGCAGTCAAGGAAAAAGAGCATTTCAAGAAAGATGAAATCATTAATTGAGTTGAGAGTTGACAGAGGTTAAGAAAAACTAACAGGGTGTTCATTGGAATTAGTAACATAGAAGACACTGTTAATTTTAGCAAAATCCAATTTTAAGGAAAATGGATGAGGTGTGAGTGTAAATAAAAAATTATAAAGGAGAAAAAATCATGCATGAAAGAGAAATGTGGTTCAAGAAGGGTTGGTTTAATTTTTTTTAACTCAAAAAAAATATCCTAGACTTAAAATAATACTGAAGGCAAAACCTAATAATGAGATGTGGAAAACCAGAATAGCTAGATAGTAACTGATGAGGTGAGGACATAGAGCAAGAAATGTGATCCAGGTAAATGGGGAAGGTTCACCTGAAGTTCAGAGCCATGAATTTCCATCATTAAAGGAAGAAAGATGGAAGACAGAATGAGATCAACCAGAATTACATTTGGAAATACAGTGGAACAAAGCTGAGGAAACTCCAGATGGTGGCTTCAATTTCCTCTTTGGAAGTTTTCTGATGAAAGCTAAGGATGTGAGTAAGGATAGTGGAAAGGAAATGGAAAACAAACTGACTTGAAAAATGAAATCAGGCTTCTGATATAGTTGGAATACATTTGACTTTGATTAATACAAAGTAATAGGGAAACCTATTTACCCTGCTTTGAGTTTTTCTTGTAGTATCTGTCACCCAAAGGCATAATAAAAAAGAGATAATTGGGTTAATCCTGGTTTGAAGTTTTCCCTAACAAGGGGAAGTAAACTGGAATATTGGCAATAGGAAACTTAAAATAATAGATTGTAGAGACCAAGGAAAGGAAGGGAAGTGAAGACAGGAGATGTCTGAGAGACGGAAAGAAATATAAAGATAAATGGACTAGAAATCATAATTGTGTGGAAGCACAATCCCAATACAACTAGTTAAATAAGGAATTTGGAATATCAATTGTGATTAAAGAGTGGATTGTTTAAATTAGCACTTTTGGAGGTGAAGTGGCATTAAAAGAAGAAAAGTTCCATGGTGTGCATAGAGTGTGTAGTAATAAAAGCTGGAAGTGAGTGAAAATTATCAGAAAAGAAAAAGTGTATTAGTTGAGGTAGGAATGGCTCCCACAGTCATGGAATCAGATAGGCACTAAGGCCATGTTGAGGAAATACATAATAAATCCTCGTGTTCTCACTTCTAAGTGAGAGCTAAATGATGAGAACACCTGGACACATAGAGAGGAACAATATACATTGGGGTCTTTCAGAGGGTGGAGAGTGGGAGGAGGGAGCGGGTCAAGAAAAATAACTAATAGGAACTAGGCTTAATACCTGAGTGATGAAATAATCTGTACCACAAACCCCCATGACACAAGTTTACCTATGTAACAAACCTACACAAGTACCCCTGAACTTAAAATAAAAGTTAAAAAAAAAAAAAAGAAATACATAATACTGTGAGAGACTTTGAGATAGTGTGTGGGCTCCCTAAACATACTTTTAATCATTGAGTCTCCATAAGCATAGAAACCATGTCTACTTTGTTTATTTTTGTATCTCCAATATCTAGCACAGTTCCTGGCACATGAAAGGGACTTAATGAATGTTTACAAATAAATGAATAAATAAATAAAGGAAGGAAAGAAAGATGGTGTTGGTAGCCAGCCTCCAAGATGATTCCCAATGAGCTTTGTTCCTGGTATTCACATCCTTGTGTAGTATCTTCTCACGCTGTACCAGGGTTGGTCTGTGTGACCTCAATACTAAGGTAGAAGTGAAGATGTGTCACTTCTGATGGTAGTTTATAACAGTATGCAGCATTCATTTTGGACCACTGGGGAAAGTCATGTTATGAGCAGCACGTAGTGAAGAACTAAAGCCTCCTGTCAATAGCTATGGGAATGAACTTGGAAGCAGATCCTCTGGCTCACTTAAGTCTCCAGAAACTGGAGCCCTCCTGGCCAACAGCTTGACTGCAATCCCATGAAAGACCCTGAGCCAGAATCACTAAGCAAAGTCACTCTTAGATATTTAATCCTCAGAAATGATGTGAAATAATAACGTTAGTTTCTTTAAGCTGATAAGATGTTAGGGTAATTTGTTATGCAGCAACAGATAACTAATATGGATGGCAAGCTATTTTTATTGGATGTCTCAGAACTTGTTCCCTTTGCTATTTTCCCCCATTTCTGCATAGAATCAGAATTAATATCTTTTCTCCTTATTCTATATCATAATAATTTTAAGAATCTGATATTCTCACTTTAGTAATAAAAAAATCAGAAGTATAAATTTTGCATCCAGAAGTATAACATACCACTAAATTATGGCATAATGACATTTTCCCCTCGTTTTATGAGATATTGTCTAGGCTGATACAGAAGGTATAAAGAATGTTGAAATTGTAGTGGTTTCCCAATTCCCATTGAATTATTGCCATATTTGGCATGTTTTTCAGCTTCTCTCATAAGCAAAGCAAGTCAGTATGTCATAATTCGCAAAAGTCAGAAAATGTACTTTCAGCATAGGGTGGCTCCACTATTGCTTACTTTTGTTCATCCCATTTTTAATTCTAAGTAATTAAAGCCTCAATAGTAACAAATCCAAAGATAAATTGGGAACTTAACTTTAGAGATAATTAGTACTGGATGTAATACAATTTCTGCTTAAATCGAGTATTTATTCATGGCATTGATTAAAAAACAAAGCATTATATGATAAAACCGATTATACTAAATGATATTTAGAAGTTTATTATGTTTGTCAGAAAACAGTTAAATGAATTGAAGGAATATTGTCTGTTATTTCTTAAATGGGAATGTAATTTTCAACAGATATTTTAGGCAAAAATTTGAGAATAAAATTTTTAAAGAGTATTAAATTAAGACAGTTCATGGCACTGAGAATTTCCCAAGTGAATTTTAATAAAATAATAGCCACTTTATAAAAATAAAATCCTGCCACATGGAGTTTCCTACCATTATCTGTATAAAATGTAGTGACATACAACAACCAAAATTTTAGATAATATCATGATTATTCCCTCTACATATACAACGTATATGTTTCCCTTGTATCTCGCTTAAGGATTATATATTAAAAATATAGAGCTGTCTTTATTTATAAAACTGAGTGAATCCCACAGGGTTCTTGCATATTCTGTGGCAAATTTCTCAAATTTATGAAAAATACAATAATCATATGCATTTTATATAACATGCTCTAACTTATCTGCATAATTATCAGAAAAGTTTGTACTTATTTTATTTAGTATTTCCCTATATTATAGCAATATATTTTGATTTAGCTTGCATTTTTAAAATATATAACTAAATGATATTCAATTCTTTGGTTAGATTTGACTCATAAAAGAGATAACTTGGAAGCACAATTAGCCCTGTGAAATTTGCTCTAAAATACCATTTCAGTGCACATTTACACTTGTTTTAGTTCACCTACGATGCAGGCCTGGCTCATTGTACTTTGCAATTCATTTATCCTGAATGACAGCTTAAAATAATCAGCACATCAGATAGGATAATAGAGGGCCCATAATAATCAAAAATTCAATTTCCTAATGTAGAGTACATTTTATATTATTGGGCATATTCAAAACCACTTCAAAAATTTTTAAACAAAAGCATTATAAGAATTATAGCTGCAGCTATAACTCAGTTGCTTATACGTATGCATGTTTATACCAACGACTCTAACATTCCTACACTATATTTACAGAGAGCAAAAAAGCAACATATGCATACATGTACAATATGTGTTTCACTTAATGTCCAACTGGCTAATATTAACCAGCATTCATTAACTTAGAACCTTGAGGGAAGAGAGACATTTCTCATGCTTCTTGGTACTACTCTTCTCCTCCCATCTGTAAGGTCTCTAGTATAATGTACAAAGCAGGCGATTAATAAATATTTTTATTTGAGTTGACAATGGCTGGGCAAACATTTCTTTGTCAATCCAATAGCTTTTTATTTGGTGCTAAGCTTTCTTTCGTGTTAACTGGGTTAGAGTTATACTGTGACTATACTAATTTATGCCCCCAATAGTAGATATTGTTTAGTATATTTGTTTGGCTAAAAAATACTCATAACAATAGACATGATAACTCAACCATTAAATTAAGAACACAAATGTAAATGCAGAATATTTTTAATGGATTTTGGCTTCATGGAATATAAAAACACCACTAAGGTAGATTATGGCATTTGGCTATTTGTTCAAGAGTGCTCTCAAACTGCAGATACCCTTGACTGAGGTACCAGGTCCTAGGCCCACACAGAAGGGAGTAGCCAGCTCACCACACCAAGTGGCCTGTCATTAAGCTGTGCTCCGCAGAGGTGCGTCTCAAACTATAACATCATAGGTACAGCACTTAAAGAAAAATTTTCATTATTTGATATCACTCTGCTAGAGTTCTTTCTTCCCTTTTGCTCTGAACAAGAATGGCTCAATTCCAGGCAAAACCAGCACTTACTCCCATTACGTTGCTTTCCTGATTGGTCATCTACAAAATGTAGTTATCATCTTAAACAGAGATGGAAGCTTCACCTTGCTATGTAAGCTCTCTGATTAATATAAATTATCAATTTATGGCAGTATAACACAATTTTACTATTTTATTTTGCTGTGAGGTTATTGGCTTACAGAAATTATAACTCTAACCTTTTAAACGTTTCCAAAAAGTGGTATTATAAAATATTGATTGCAGACATATGCAAGATATCTAGGAGAAGAAAAGTCTATTTTACCAACATCTCACCTGCAGTAAGCTTGTAAGACCAAAAGCGGTGGTGAAAAAGAGTCCTAGACAAACTAAACATTATAACAAAGGGGTTGTCTTTTGTATAATCTTGTCATTGAGAAAATCTGACAGTACCATCCTGTCAGAAAAAAAGGCAAAGGAAGTAAAAAATAGGAGATCCTGGTATGCAAAAATTAATAGAGCAACAAGTCTATGTTTCATCATATAGAAAAATAAATTATAATGATGAATAAATTCAGAAAGATGTAAAAGAAAAAAAAAACAATGAAAAGGAATAAAAATGATTGTTGCTGGAAATAGATGGAGTTCCAAGGCGAATTCCTTAAATAGAATCAGAGAGCATTAAAAAGGAAAGTGATGTTACAGAATTGTAAATCATTGATTATGATACCATTTAACCTTGACTCCTGAGAATTTATGATGTGCATATGTTAAGGAGTTAGAACTAGCATTAAAAATGTTTTAAACAATTGAATATTTTAAAAAGTAAAAAAAAAATTGAAATCCTTTAAAATATAATGTGTGATTTATTTGATTGATGGTCTTACATAAGTATTTATCCAATAAACCTTAATACTTCCATTGTTTGTCACACAGAATCATATGTGCTGATATGGGAGAGACAGAATACCACAAATCTGAATGGCTTTGGAAGCATCAAGAGCTTGACAACCAGAAAAAAAAAAAAAATAGAGCAGTTACCTCAAGATTCTGATCAAAAATGATTTTAAACTTAGAATTCAACACTCAGCCAAAATTAATTCAAGATAAGAGTAAAGATGTTTCTAAATAGACAAAGTCCTCAGAATTCTCCTTAGGTGCACACTTTCTCAGTAGTGAACCCTGGAAACAGGTAATCTGGCACAAGGAGGAGGTGACAAGAATCTCCAGGAAGAAGGTCAGTGGAGGTCCCAGAAGGAAAAGTTTCAGGGACCTGGAAGAAACTAGTCCAGATTGAAGCAGATCAGAATTTTATGGAAGCGTTTTCTCAAGAAGTAGCAAAAATCAGAACATCTATTGAGTCTGAAAGTATTGAGAAATCAGAGATAGAAAATCAGGAAAAATAAAAAGGAAAGGTAATAATTATTCCAGAAATTATGAGGAAAGAAAACAATCATATATGAATGGTATTTTCATGGTCATAAAAATAAAAATTCTTAACATTGATCAAATGAAAATTTTAATGTAACTCTTGAAGAATGGGAGGGAGGGAGGAAAGTTTGTATATGGTGGACAAGGATGTAGCTAAGGCATATTTAAGTTTTTCATTTGGGGAAATCAGCATATTTATAAAGATTAAGAAGTAGCCATATGAGCATGCCACATAGAGGTTTAGAAACAACCACCAAAAGAGAGAGCTAAATAAATTAAAGTTGGTTGCCTCTTGAAAGCAGGTAATGGTGAAGGGCATTGACGGAAAGAGGTTGCTGTGTTTTTTGCAAAGAACTTTGTAGAATATTTGTACTAACTAAGCATTTACATATTAACGGAAAGCAAACTCAAAAATAAAAAAGATGGGCACTGCCTACATGAATGAGAAAGTGCCATTTTGTTCCCTGCTCAGATATCTGCCCAGGCTGCAGAATTGCTAGTCTGTATGTTTACCTGAGGTAGGGAAAGTAAACACAAGGCTAAAAGAACATTAGACAGCCAAGTGGAGCAGACACCAGCGTTGGGCATGGCAAGGATACAAGGGATATCTAGTATGTTAGTTTTCTATAGCTGTCATAGCAAATTGCCATGACAACACAGATTTATTTTACATTTCTGTAGGTCAGAAGTTTGACATGGGTCTCACCAGGCTAAAGTCAAGGTGTCAATAGAACTGCCCTCTATTTTGGTCTGTCTAGGAAATAACCCATTTCTTTGCCCTTTCCAGCTTCTAAGGATCACCCACATTCCTTGGCTGGTGACCTTCTTCATCTTCAAAGCCAGTAGCAGCTGGTTGAGTTTTTTTCACATCACATCAATTTAACTTATGCTTCTGCTTCCCTCTACCACTGTTAAGGACCTTGTGATTACTCAAACTCTCATGGATAATCTAGGATAATCAACTTAACTTTGGGTCAGCCAATTAGCAACCTTAATTCTGTCTGTAACCTTAACTCTTCCCATATATCATAACTTATTGACAGCTTCCAGGAATTAGGATGTGGAAATATTTGGTGGGGTGGAAGGGAACCATTATTCTGCTTAACACTCTTAGGGATGGAATGGACAGCTGAAAAGGTAACTGGGCTTCAGTTATCTTCCTAGTACTTTATCCAAAAAGGATTCCCATGGTAAGCTATAGGGTAGCCAGCCACAAGGGTCTCTGGGATGGATCAATGGTTGTAGGCTTTAAGGGGGAAAGGCAGAGACAACTCTGGATCATGTACATCAGAAAATGTTGCAGTACGGAAGCTCCAAAGAATCCACATATTCACCCAACCCACAAGAGTTAGACTTTGAATACCTTCAAAAGACACAGACAGCCAATCAGTGATAGAGAAGTGGCAAGAATCAATAAGAAGAGGATTGTGTCATTGTAAAGATAAGTGAGGAGATATAGGCCATTTTTCTCTGGCACTCTATTCCAAGTCCAGAGGAGTCAGAGCTCTTAGATAATTTAGAAAATCCTGTAAGAAGAATACTCCATGACGAGGGCACTTGAGTCTAACCATCCCTTGGGAGGAAGGTAGGGAGGGAAAGAAGAAGTTTGACTTTATATGATGTTGAAGTTGCAGATTTTATTGGAGTAAGTTTTCTTAAAACGAAAGTGTCCAGAAACCTTACCAACTCTGACCAAGATGCAATAAGGGATGTGAAAAGTAATTTGCAACTTGGTAATTATAGAGAACAGTTCATGGAAAAAATTAACTCTCTTATATTTTTACCTCTATGAGTCTATATTCTTCAATAACCTGTTACAAGTACATAAAAATCTGGAAAGACAATTCAATTTGTAATCTAACCAAGATCATATTAGTGCTGGGAGGTAACCAATAAGAACACCATGTTGCTCAACTGAGCTGAAGCACCATGTTCTTTCCTCGGGCTTTTTCCAGCAGTAGTTCTTATTTCCAGCAATAGTTCTTATTTCCAGCAGTAGTTCTTATTTCCAGCAATAGTTCTTTTTAAAACTGTAATCTGACTGTGGAATGAAGAAAATGTGGCTCAAGTTAAAAGTGGCAAAAGCATTTTTTAAATTTTTCTAAGCAGCAATAGAATGACTGGTGCTGCTATAAATACAAGCTGACAACAGGTCATGCCTTCATGATCTTAAATTATATAAATGACATCAACTTTTTCTTCTCAAAAGTGAAAAAAGTAAGAAATAATCAGAGAAGTGATTTGCTTTTTTAATACATACTGTTTGTTTTGCTGTCACTTTCAGTCCCTTCGCCCTTATTCATCCACTCTCTTCAACCTCCTACAGAAGCCTGGGATAGAGCAACATCTCAAAGATTAATAAAGGAAGTGGGTTAACATTCTGTGAGCTGTTTCAGTTTTGACACTGGAGATTGTTCATATTTTTTTCTCTGAAAGACTTTAGAATTGTTTTATGTTCAAAACCTAAGATAGCAAAGCAATTATCAAACCATTATGCAATCACAAAGTGTACTCTATTGATTTGGGGTTTCTTCATATCATTTTATTTTGTACTCTCATATTCTCTCTCTTTTCTCTCACTCTCTCCTATCCTTGCCTCCCTCTTCTCTCTCTCTCTTTTCTATGCAGGGGACATCTCTATTCCTTTCCATATTTATTTCTCCTCTCCTTCTAGGCACATTGGAAAGCCAGTGGGTTGGAAGGGAAGCCATATATGCCATATCTGTGTGGAGGTATTTAAGTTGACAGTGCAAGAACAACCAGCACACTGTTTCTCTGAAATGACGACAACACATGTAAAGAAAATGCCAAAAGCTGAAAGCACCTTGGGTTACTGAATAAACACATCCAAGACAGGTAGTTTGTAGAGTTACTTGAACACATAACAGGCTGCAAGTTAGCAAGACACTCCTTGTTACTGCAACATTACGTAGCCAGTGTTGACTGACATACTTTGCATGACCTATTTCCCCATTTTATTTTATTTTTATTTTTAGTTATTAATTTATTTTGAGATGGAGTCTCACTCTGTCGCCCAGGCTAGAGTGCAGTGGAGCGATCTCGGCTCACTGCAAGCTCCACCTCCTGAATTCACGCCATTCTTCTGCCTCAGCCTCCGGAGTAGCTGGGACTACAGGCGCCTGCCACCACGCCAGGCTAATTTTTTTGTATTTTTAGTAGAGATGGGGTTTCACCGTGTTAGCCAGGATGGTCTCAATCTCCTGACCTCGTGATCCGCCCACCTCGGCCTCCCAAAGTGCTGGGATTACAGGCGTGAGCCACTACACCTGGCCCTCATTTTATTTTTTGTTATTTTAATTTATCCTCATTTTTAGGCACTCCTTCATGTTGTTAAACATGCTTGATCTTCAAATTTTAATTTTTCAGTTGCATATTATGTATATAAGGAGATATGTATCTTTATATCTTCATATACATATAAAGATATATATCTTCATATACATATGAAGATATATATCTTCATATACATATGAAGATATATATCTATACATATATGAATATATGTGTATATATAAGTATATATGTACATCTATCTATCTATCTAAAGATATAAAGACATAAATGCTAAGAAGAACCAGTATCACTGGAATATGAAGCTAGCAGGAAACTTGCCAATTCAGTTTGAACTGCAGGTGTTCAGTCGGTGATATGGTAAGAAGCGGGTACTGCTGCTTAAGAAAGGTGCCTTCCTATGGCCGACTAAATTCAAGGTGTATTTATGGAAAGAGGATACACTCTGGAATCAGAGAATCTCGAGTTTTAATTACAATTCCACCACCACATTTTCTTTGGTTCTGAGTAATGCTAAACTCTGAGCCCTGGGGAACATCCATGAAATGGGGAAATGATCTATCTCATTGGCAGAATTTGGGAGGAATTAAAGATAACAGATGCTAACGTATTTGGCATAGAGTTGATAGTCAATAAAGGATAAATATTACTATTATTATGTCTTTCTGATAAGATTTTGGAAGTTAATCAGATGCTCAAAGCTTCAGGGTAGAAAAAAAGGGTCCCAATATTGCCCCTTTGTTCTCCAGCCTTGAGGACCTGAATAAGGTAACCCAAGCTTTGCAAGCTGTAAAGGATCAGAGACCCATGTGAAACACTGGGGTAGTTTGCCTACTTTACTTATCTCTTTCACATTCTTAGAATTTTATTTTTAAAAGCTTTAGCTTGGCACTGTCTATGTAGTTTTAAAATATTTTTAGCATACTGTGCATTTTTTAAAAACTACTCTTCTTTTCATCTTTTGCCACCTCTGTACCTTGTGGTCTTGTAGATCCCTTGTTATTTATGTATTTATTATATTTCCCTTATTATTGGTATCTATTTATTCTTAAAATATTTCTCCTTTTATCTTCATTCTCATTAGCTTTTAGAACTTCCTCTTATTACCTCTATAAATATGAACTTATTTATATAATGTATTTATCTCAATGTTTGCATTAATATGTTCTTTTTATTTTTGTTTACTGTAGTGCTAGCATTTTTGTTACTTTAATGGAAAAGTCTTAAAAATCTTTTTCTTATGTTTTAGTACATTTGGTGTTAATCAGCCCACCTTTAATCTTTTATGCCTTAATTCTTTCCTTTGTTATGTATCAGGTCCTTGCTCTACCTTGGGTAATTCTGATTTCATAGTGCAAGAGACTGTATTAATTCATTTTCATGCTGCTGATAAAGTCATACCCAAGATTGGGTAATTTATAAAGAAAAAGAGGTTTAGTGGACTTACAGTTCCACACAGCTGGGGAGGCCTCACAATCATGGTGGAAGGTAAAAGGCACATCTTACGTGACAGCAGACAAGAAAGAATTGAGAACCAAGTGAAAAGGGTTTCCCCTTTTAAAACCATCAGATCTCATGAAACTTATTCACTGCCATGAGAACAGTATGGGGGTAACCACCAGGTTTAAATTATCTCCCACCAGGTCCTTCCCACATCACATGGAAATTATGGGAGCTATAATTCAAGATGAGATTTGGGTGGGGACACAGAGACTATTTCAAAACATTTGTTCAGCGGCTACAACAGGTAGAATTTATCTTTGGGTGCTGATTGGTCTTTAGTTAAGTAAAACAATTTTAGGGGACTTTTGGTTTATAAAGTTAAGGTCGTTGCCCTAATCTGGAAAGGAGAGTATGAGACAATTAATTCTAAATTTAAGTACAATGAAAAAATTTTCTAAATTATAAACTTCTCCATTGTGTACACAATGTCTAGCACAAATAAATGCTGAAAAAATACCTGTGGAATGAATGAATTGCAAGAATGAAAGGTGTTAGGCTGCAATCTAAAGAGGTGGCCAGCAAGTTAAATACCTTCCCTATAAAACTACATAGAACATTCAGTGATATCATGCTTTACATGTCCCTTTCTGCAATGTAATTCTCTCACAGTCTCCTCACGTCTTCAGTGAATTTTATAATCACTACAGTCTAGCTGTGCAATGACTTTCTGCAGTCACACAGCATGGGATCTCAGGGTATTCTTATTTAAAATTTAAAGGCATGAGTGGTCCCATAAGTGAATCCTTTAATGTCACTTGAGTTTTATGTCTATTCTTGTGTTTACTCTCAGTCCCTAGTAACTTCAGGTATGAGGCAAGGACTAGGAGAGAGCCTGCACTGTCTCACCATCCCTGAGAGAGGCAATGTCTTTTTCTGCTCAAATCTGCTATATTGACTTCCCAAGTCCTTTCAGGGATTATGTTCCAAAATATCTCTACCGGGTAACTGAAAAGAAATAAAAGCCAGAAATCCTTTTCAAGCTCATAATAATCTTATTTGGGCAGACAGCATATTTTAATTCCCAGAATACTGTTTATTTCTCACATCACACACGTGTTACTGACATTAGACATTGGGTAAGCTTTGTAAAATGTACTACATATCAGCAAAACAAAGTAGGCACACATTTTCTGGTCTGAGTTTGGCAACAAATTAGTTGGTGTGGAACCTCCTAAGCGTTCTCAAGGAGAAGCAGTGTAGATTAGTGATTAAGTATGAGTTCACATCCAAGGTCTGTCACTTACGATCTGTGTGACTTTAGACAAATCATTCTGCCTCTGCTTTCCTGTGAGATTGGAAAGATGGTAATAAGTCCCACATCATAGGTTTGCTATAGAGATTAAGCAGTTATATATGACGCTTTTATAACAAAACTTGGCACCCAATATGTGCCATGAAATTGTGGCTATAGTCACTAGTATGACAGAAGGAGATAAAGTAGAGGACTGATAATTAATTTTCTGGAACCTTAGTTTGTACTAGTTTCTCAATTGCACATTTTCTATTTGAGTTATATTCTTTCTTATGAGAGTAATGAGAGAATTTTCTAGGGCTGTAAGCCTCCTCAGCTTCTGTTCTTATTTTAACGAATAAGAGAAGCTGTCTAGAAATCATGTAGGAGAAGCAGATGCTTAGAGAAGATGACCAATGGCAAATGTCAGAGTTTTGAAACAGCCTAGAAATAGAGATATTTCTTAACTCTCAAATTTAAAATAACTAAAGGCCGAATATTGGCAACACTTCAGGGAAAGTTCACAGTCTTCAGGTCTGGCTGCCTCTTTGCTTGAACAAAATCAGGGGAGGAGGATTTAATTGTGAAGAAAAAAATAGAGGGTAAGATTAAAATAAGCCAGGAAATCCTCTGGAGTTGTTCTAGGTCTGCTAGCCCACACTATCAGTTGAAGAACTGCAAACTCAAAAACCACTAAGTTCTAAGTCAAGGCAAGTAGGTTATGAACAGTCTAAGACTGTTATAGGAAACCAGCCTGTAAGTCAAGCGAAAGAAGATGCCTTAATCTGAGGGCCTAATCTAGTGTCCAGAAACTGACAGAAACTTCAGAGACATGTGCCAGAACCTTGTTATAAGCAGGCAAGAGGAGCTGGTAATACTGGCTTGGCAGCTGCCCTTCTTCAATGAATTCATTCATATATTTGAATATTTTTAAAACACTGAATATATGCCAGGTCTGTTGAATATGTAAGAAAAAAATATCTAGAAACAGACTGGAAATTAAGAGTAAACTGTAGGATTTAGTGACTGATTAGATGGGAATGTTGAGGAAGAAGGAGCTAGGAGAATTCTTGGTTTTGTGGAAAGCACCAGTTTTAGAGGAATGATGAGTTTTTGTTTTGAGTGTCCCGCATGTGCAAGACCATTAGAATGTGATATTTTTATCTTTTAAAGACCACTATTAATAGAATTAGAAAGGCAGAAACCTAATTGTAGTGGCTTGAAGGGAAATTAAGAGGTGGAGATAATGACTAAACTCTATCCTTACCAGAAAATATGAAGAAAGGCATCTGGAACTCTAGCTGTAATGTGACAAGAGAGGTGTTTTTTTTTCGTTCGTTTGTTTTGTTTTCGGAAAAAGATAATGATAGCTTGGCGAAAAAAATAAATAGGGAGTGGGAGAGATTGAAAGAACAGATGGGCCGGGTGCGGTGGCTCATGCCTGTAATCCCAGGACTTTGGGAGGCCAAGGTGGGAGGATCACGAGGTCGGGAGTTTGAGACCAGCCTGGCTAACATGGTGAAACCCCGTCTCTACTAAAAATACAAAAATTAGCTGGGTGTCGTGGCATGCACCTGTAATGCCAGCTACTCAGGAGGCTGAGGCAGGAGCATTGCTTAAACCCAGAAGGCGGAGGTTGCAGTGAGCCGAGATCATGCCATGGCATTCCAGCCTGGGCAACAGGGTGAGATTCCATCTCGAAAATAAATAAATAGGCCGGGCGTGGTGGCTCACGCCTGTAATCCCAGCACTTTGGGAGGCCAAGGCGGGTGGATCACAAGGTCAGGAGATGGAGACCATCCTGGCTAACACAGTGAAATCCCATCTCCACTAAAAATACAAAAAATTAGCCGAGCATGGTGGCGGGCGCCTGTAGTCCCAGCTACTCCGGAGGCTGAGGCAGGAGAATGTTGTGAACCTGGGAGGCGGAGCTTGCAGTGAGCCGAGGTGTGCCACTGCACTCCAGCCTGGGTGACAGAGCGAGACTCCGTCTCAAAAATAAATAAATAAGTAAATAAATAAATAGAGAAAAGAAAAGAAAGAACTGATGGACTATTGCCTCCAGAAGAGTCAGGGAGTTCAGATCAAGCTTGGGAGAATTAGAATTTAGCAAGAGAAAAAAATTACAACATCTGGAATTAGAAGGAAAGTTCTCTTTACAAATAGAGGGGAAAGATTTGTTCCGGGTCCCTAAAGTTAAATGGATGGCAGGAATAGAGAGAAAAATACTTTGGCTAAATATAAAGGTGAATGGTTTTTAATATGGTCAAAAATATAGTGGATCATCTAGGGTGATTGTGAATTATTTTTGCTTGGAGATAGGCAAAAAAACAAAAACAAAAAACAAAACAGCAAAATGACCATTTATCAGAAATGTCTGTAATCTGAAATAGAGCAACTCATTCCAGTGACCCCATCCAGTGCTGATTCTTTAATTTATAGATCTTGTTTTATACATTTACTTTCTAATCTAAAATATCCTGGACATTTTTCAAAGGCCTAGTGAGCAGGCAGATATTGATGTTTAAATTAAGCTTGTAGAAAGACTTTAAATCTCATGTTTGTCTCTGATATAATAGGCAGAAGGGTTTTTTTTTTAATCTTTAAATGGCAAATAAATGAAATTAGCAATAAACCTATATTTGGTCATATGGATCTTTGTAATTTCATACAAATTTGAGGATATATTGCCTTGCAAGTTATTTCAATAATGAAGTTAAGATCAGGGGTGTTTGGAGAGAAGAAAAATATGATTCTTCCATCATGATCTATAATAAAGGTGGTGGTGGGGCAAAGAGAAGGGAGCAAGTTGTGCCCGTGTTGAAATATCATCGCTAGCTCAGGACCAGCATAATGTAGAAGAGGAATCACTTCTCCTATTCTAAAATATACAATTCTATCAGTACGACGAATACTTATCTTGACACAACCGATAATGAATAATATAGCATACTGCTGACTTACATAATCTCCTCAAATAAAAGCTCCCACTATAGAATCAGATTAATTCTCCTTGGGTACTACTTTTGAATCTCTGGAAACAATTACTAACGCTGGTCCCTATTTACTGGTGTATATTCCATATTAGATACTCATTTTATAAAGATTACTCTGGTATTGGGCATGGACTAAAACATAGAAAGACTAATGGCAGCACATTCAGTAGGAAGGCGGGTGCAAAGTTTTATCCAAGAGGGACACAGCCAGAAACAAGATGAATGGGAGTTGGAGAACGGGATTTGTACCTGAGAATAAACATCTTAAAGATTAAGAGCAACTTTTCTAAGGAAGCAATATGACTCTAGTAAGGCTTATCCTTAAATAACCCAAGATGGTTCCTAATAATAATTAATTCCTCTTCTAAGTGATTATAAATTGGGTTTTCAATAAACATTCTAGAATCAACAAAAGCTTCTTTGATAAGATCAAGAAGCCACCGAAGAACAACAGCCTGAGGAGTGGTTGGTGAAGAAGGTTAAATGAATCCAATTACTTTGCCAAGAAGGTCTTTTAAGTTTATAGCTATAGATACAGATGAATGGATGGATAGATAGATAGATAGATAGATAGATAGATAGATAGATAGATATGTGGTTAGAGAGATAGATATAGGCATAGACATACAGAATGAAGAAAGAACAGAGTAGAGAGAATAACAAAGGTAAAATATTAATTGGAGAGTATGGATAAAGGGTATACAGAATTTCTTTGTGCTAGTTCTACAACTTTTCAGTAAGTCTGAAATTAGTTCAAAATGAAAAGATAAAAAAACAAACCCAAAATATAAAACCTGATTTTAAAATGCGCAAAAAGCCTGAACAGACACCTCACTAAAGAAGACATACAGATGGCAAATAAGCATATGTAAAGATGCTCAAGATCATAATTCATTAGCAAACTGCAAATCAAAACAATGATGAGATACTACTACAACATATCTATTAAAAGAGTCAAAATCCAAAACACTGAGAATACCAAATGCTGATGAAGATGTGGAGCAAAAGAAACCTTCGTTCATTGCTGGTGGGAATGCAAAATGGTACGGCCACTTAAAAAATGGCAGTTTCTTATAATACTAAACAGATTCTTATAATATGATCCAGCAATCAAGCTCCTTCGTATTTCCCCAATGAGCTGAAAATTTATGCTCACACAAAAACCTGAATACAGATGTTTATAACAGTTTTATTTATCACAGCCAAAATTAGAAGCAACCAACATGTCCTTCAGTAGGTGAATAGACAAACTGTACTACATCTAGACAATGGAATATTATTCAGCATTGAAAAGAAATGAACTATCAAGCCATAAAAAGACATGGAGGAACCATAACTTCTTATTAAGAAAGAAGCTGATTTTAGCCGGGCGTGGTGGCTCACGCCTGTAATCTCAGCACTTTGGGAGGCCGAGGCGGGCAGATCACGAAGTCAGGAGATCGGACCATCCTGGCTAAGGCGGTGAAACCCCGTCTCTACTAAAAATACAAAAAATTAGCTGGGCGTGGTGGCAGGCGTCTGTAGTCCCAGCTACTCGGGAGGCTGAGGCAGGAGAATGGTGTGAAGCCGGGAGGCGGAGCTTGCAGTGAGCCGCGACTGCGCCACTGCGCTCCAGCCTGGGCGACAGAGCGAGACTCCGTCTCAAAAAAAAAAAAAAAAAAAAAAAAAAAAAAAAAAAGCTGATTTTGAAGGGCTGTATATTGTATGATTCTGACTATATAACATTCCAGAAAAGGCAAAACTATGAAGATGGTAAGAAGATCAGTAGTTGTCAGGTAGGAGGGCAGGATGAATAGGCAAAGCACAGAGGATTTTTAGGACACTATTCTGTGATAATATAGTGGTGGATACATGTCATGTTACTTTTGTTAAAACTCATAGAATGCACAACACCAAGGTTGAATCCTAATGTGAACTATACATTTGGGGTAACAATGATGTGTCCACGTAGCTTCATCCGTGGTAACAAATGTACCACTTTGATGTGGGATATTGATGATTGAGGGGAGGCCATGCATGTTATGCATGTCTTGGGGCAGGAGGTACAGGAATAGTCTGTACTTTCCATTCAATTTTGCTGTGAACCAAAAACTGCTCTAAAAAATAAGTCTATTGAAAAGAATCAAAATATTTAAAAATGAGTCAATCAATTAAACAGTTTAGTTCAATATAGAGCCTCAAAAAAACCTTAATATCCTTAATTTTAAGAAATACACAAATGAGCTTATCCATACAACAAATGAAAATTTTCAATTCAAGATAGGATTTTAACAAATCCTGTGTTTGGGAGGGCTTCTACAGGCTGAATATTTGTCCTTCCTCCAAAATTCATATGTTGAAACCTAATCCCCATTGCAGTGGTATTTGGAGGTGGGCCCTTTGGGAGATAATTAGGTCATGAGGGTGGAGCCCTCGTGAATAGGATTAATGTCTCATACAAGGGGCTCCAGAGAACTGCCTTGCCGCTTGAACACATGAGATTCTTGCAAGAAGATGGCCATCCATGATCCAGGAATTTGGCCCTCATCAGACACCAAATCTAACAATTTCTTGATCTTGTACTTCTCAGCCTCCAGAACAGTGAGAAATAGATTCCTAATTATAAGCCACTCAGACTAGTATTTTGTTTTAGCTGCCTGAGTGAACTTAGAATAAACCCAAGATCTTTGCCATGATGACATGTTTTCTTTTTAAGGGAGAAAAAACTGAAATCTAAGTAATATTCATCCAGAAGTAATTTTCAAAGTTTATGATTATCTTTTATAACCACTGTTTCATTGAAAATATACAAAATACAGAATAATATTATTCTACTGATACGATGAGAAAGAATTATCTTGAATCTTGTACTGTATCAAATATTCCTGAAATGGAAAAAATGATTCCTACCTTTTTGTGTTTTTTAATATAATGTTCTCACTGAATTCTTGAATATAACAGGTTTAAATTACTTTACAGTCAATCCTGACAAGATACTAAAAGGCTAAGAATGTAACATGCTGTGGTTTTCCTATCAAACATAATTATGCCTCCTTCAGATGGACTCAGGGTGCCACATCACTCTTAGCTCTGGAGCTATCAGTGAGGACCCTCCTACTTGTTTTATGCCTGATACTGGAAAAATGCAATAACAGGCCATCTGGGCCACTAGGAACAAAGATGCAAAGCTCAGGCAGGTAGGAATGAACTGCTTTTTAAGCAGAAAGTTCTAGTAGGACAAATCCAAATAAAAGATTTGTCTATGCTACAGGAAGTAAAATTAGTCTTTAATGTTTTCAGAAATTTCACATTACAAGAATACTAAGTAGATGTCATTGTGTCAATCAGATGTGAACAAAATTTTTAAGGTGTAAAACACAAGATAAATCTAGCCTCATAGTCTAAAATACATTGTTCCATGTAAAATGAGATCTATTTCTGACAAACACCTTATAATTACCAAAGCTGTATTTTACTTCAAAAGAAATAACTATGACTTTCTCAGTTTGTAAACATTTGATTCAATTCAGTGACTTCTGTTCGTATTTAACATCTGTTCAAATAGATTTTTCAATGACAATGGATAAAAATGAGCAAAAATGTATGTGAGCCTAACATAAACAATTTATTGTTATAAGAAAAACAGATATTTCACTTCCCATTTAATTTCATAGTTTATTCAGTGACTATACAATATTCTATAGTCACTGTGTTATAACATGGAAGTGTTGTAAGAAGCACTTCCACCAAATTTAAGTCAAACAGATTCTGCAAAGTTAACATCTCCTTTTCCCCATTTCCATCTACCTATATTTATGTTAGGGACACTTTGGAAATAATTTGTAGAGTAAGGAAACTTATGGAAAACTATGGACATTTTATAATCACAAGTGACCAACCCTGATATTAGAAAATTCTCAGACACAACAAAATAGATTGCCAGATTTTGCTAATAAAAATACAGAGCAACTAGTTAAACTTGGGTTTCAGATAAACATTAATTTTTTTAAATATAAGAATGTCCCAAATATTGCATGAGAGTATATAAAAATTATTTATTGTGTGTCTGAAATTCAAATTTCACTGGGCATCCTCTCTTTTATCAGGCAATACTATGCAGAGACATTTTAGTAGTGATGCTTTTCTCTCCTATTAGAATGTGAGTCCCTTTATGGCAGAGATGAAATAATTCGTTATGCATCAGTGTGTGATACATAATGAACACACACAACAGAATTGTATTAAATGAAAAACTGAATGTAAAGAACAAATTTTAAAGACCCTCAAATTTGTTCTCTTTTAGAAAACTCTTGAGTTTTGAAATTTTTGTCAAATCTTCCATTATGCAACCGCTATCTACCTCCAGAAATATTCCTTTTCCTTGTAGGTTCAACTAATATAATCTCTTCTCATCTCTTTGTTTAAACTGTTCATATGAAACAGTATATTATATTTATTGAGAGTGATAAGACTCCCAGAGCTTTGGCTTATACATGAGTTTGGATTTACAAAATGCTCCAGGATGGTATGTAGGTGAGGATAAAATGTACCTAGTTTACCAAGCTAATGTTTTAGATATAGGTTCTGTTTGTCTCTGTCTCTGCCTCTTTCTGTTCTGTCTCTGTTTTTCTACATATATTCTCTCTGAATACATGTATACATAAATTTATATATATATGTATACTCTGAATGAAGGTGTGTGGTTTTGCAAGTTCATAACTTTAACTCACAATGGCTAATGCACATTAATCAGGTACCATGTCTCAGAAATGACTATGACCCCAGTAACACTGTGAACTGTGAGATACAGTACATTTTTGATGTTTCTGCTCTGCTGATGCCTTCTCTTCTCCCATGCCTTGGCTGTTACAGTGACCTATATTCCAAGGACCTCAACCTCCTACTCCATCATCCCTCCCAGAGATCATCAGAACCACATTCACTGGTCCTCCAGTCAGTTTCCCACAGCTGTCATTCAGTCTCACAGAATTGGCCTCTATCCTGAATCCCATACAAACCTCAATAGCAACATGACTACTCCCTCCAGGTGGCTTTTGTGCCTTCCCAGGGAATGACAGTAATATTAACTATGAGAACAAAATTAGCAGAAATCACATATTCCCCTTCCCTTTTTACTAGGGAAATTTATTTCAACAGTGTTGTTGTTTGGTGATCTAATTCAAAAGATTGACAAGTGATGTGATTTTTTTGTCCAGTAAGAGAAAACTCAGGGTTATGGTGGTTGTTGGATTATTCTTGCAGGCTACTGGGGTATCCTTGATAATTGGAACCTACTGGAACACCATAATTCCCCTAAGCAAACCAAGCTTCCCCTAAATAGCAGAAGTTCTTAGGAGTTTCTTTTGTGGTCCCTCCTGTGTTGTATTTCACATATAAGCTGCTCCACTGGGAAATCAATGTTTGTCACAGTCTGACCCCACTCAATCTGCTCAAATGTAATTCACACTGTTTTTTTAATGGCATATGACATCTGCTTCTTTCCTTCCTGTCCTCACTGCCTTTGACATGGTTTTTTTCCCTGCTAGTCCTTCTTGTTTAACTACACATCTCTAGGAAAGCTTTCCTGCCTACTCCAGTCAATATTAAATAAAACTTTCTCTGAACTCTCAGTGCACAGTCAGTTTATACACCTGCATACTTCTTGTAATGCTAGCAAAAAAAAATGGCCCCCAAATTTTCTTCCTATATGGAAACTCACATGAGCAGCCATCAATCCCCATCATAATTCTTGTAAAAGTTGTAGCATTTCTATTTCTGTTCATGGAAAGAATAAGATCAAGGATCAACTTCTTAATATTGATATGTGTTTCTGAATAAACACTAAATGGTTTCAAAATCTGTTATTACATGACTATAATCTATTCCTGAAGCAACAGCAAACTGCCATTAGCTTGCACATTTAGCCAAATGTTCACAGGCTGGGATATTAGCAAGAACTCGTAGTAACACTTGAAATACATTCAGAACCCAATTTTATGTGCAGGAAGTTTTCTTTAAAATTTTTAAAGCTAGAATACTATTTTTGAGACAAGAACAGGACACAAGAGTATACACTGTACAGATACCTACTTCAAATTGTTACTAAGAATACATGGGATAATTCCACAACTTGGCTTTCTGTGCCTTAGATGGGACTCCTAAAAGGCTCTAAAGTGGGTCTCATATACGAAAAACATGTACTAATAGTTAAAGGATATCATATAAATGAAAATCTCATAAATTTTCAGTGTAGAGACTACCACCAATTACCTTCTCATTATTTCCTTTTGGCTTCAAATTAATTCAACAAATATTCAGGGAACACCTATTGATTTTTTTTAAGGCCATTTTGCTAGGATCTGGGGTTATAGTAATAAAGGTAAACTCCCTGCCATCAAGGCGCTCACAGTCTAATTCTGAACACCACCAAAGAAAAGAGCACATGAGGGTGACATTTCCAGCTCTAAGGCAGCAGAAGGTATGCATTATACATTTTTTGCATACCCTTCAATCAAGCAATAAAAAATCTTCCCGTTCGACCCTGTGGGAGGAGGCACTTGTGTGGTTCGGTCTGGCAGGACCACCGCCGTGTTGAAAGTCCCCCCAGACAGCTGTGCCCAGCACGGCAGTTTCGTTGGGGTCTAGGGAAAGGGCAGGGTCAGACTGGTCACAATCAGGGCTGGAGATTTTTTGGAGTCAACTCTCCCAAAGGCAATGGGGTCTACTGCTTTATTAGGAAAATGGAAAGAAAAAAGGGAGGGAAACAATGTACCCAGGCGCCCCCACCGCATTCTGATTGGACCCACTTAAGCATCTGCAGAAAACAATAAAATGAAAAAAACTCTTAGAGGTGAAACTCAAAGGTCAACCTCTGGCTGTGCGGGACAATGGGTGTCCGGCCTTCCCTTCCCTTCCCTTCCGAAGTGATGAAGGAGTTCCAATGTTCTGCGAACACTGGAAACCCCAGCGGATCCCTCTAACTCCAGGGCAGCGAAACCACTGGCAGCGGACAGAGGGAGGATTGTCGGTGTGTGAATTGCTACCCTGGGATCCGGACCCAGAGCGGCAGCCGCGCCCCTCCGCCCCCCGCGCGACCCCGGGTCCGAGGCACGCTCCCAGCGGAGCGGTCCTGCGCCCCCGCCCCCTCCAGGAGCCGCGGCGCGCACAGCCGGGCTGGAGCGCGCACCCGGCACTGAGGCTTCGCTGCTCTCGGAGCGCTCAGACCGCGGCCGCCGCAGCCGGCGAAAGAGGCAAAGTCCCGCACGCCGGAGGACATGCGCCTCGGCTAGCGGCCCCGGGCCCCACCACCGTGCGGCTTTCTCCAGATTATTCCTCTCTCGCTGTCTCTGACTGTCTCTCTCTGTCTCTGTCTCTGTCTCTCTCTCTCTCACACACACACACACACACACAAACACACATACGCACGCACGATCTCACTTCGATCTATACACTGGAGGATTAAAACAAACAAACAAAAAAAACATTTCCTTCGCTCCCCCTCCCTCTCCACTCTGAGAAGCAGAGGAGCCGCACGGCGAGGGGCCGCAGACCGTCTGGAAATGCGAATCCTAAAGCGTTTCCTCGCTTGCATTCAGCTCCTCTGTGTTTGCCGCCTGGGTGAGTGAGAAGAGCTCGGTGGGGTTTCAGCTCCGGGATCGGTGGGATGAGGGTGGGAGCATTTCAGCGTGTCCGCGACTTGCCGCCGCCGCCGCCATCTAGCCAGGAGGAAAAAGGGACAGCCAACTGGGCTCCCACGGAGCGGGCGGCCGCGCGGTGCAGGCAGCTGCGTGGGATTTGCGCGCCCCCTCCCCGCCCCGCGCCCTCGCCCCTTCCATCGGCCCGCGGGCATTCGTGCCCCGGGCCCCAGGAGACGGAGCTACTGGAGACGGAGGGCTACTCGGATCCCTGCCGCCACCGTTCTTCTCTCCTCTTTTGCAAAGTGTAGAAATCGCCTTTTAGATATACATAGGAAGATAAATGACCAGAAATACAGCTGTGGTGCGGGGCTGTGTACTGTACTGTCTTTTTTGCTGTTCATTTTTATGCTATAGGTATGATGGGCTTAAATGGAAAGTACACGTGTCTGGTGTGAATTGCAGACACACACACACACACACACACACACCTGAAAGGTAGTAACAGGCACAAGCACCAACCTGACTTTTCAGGGTTTTTTTTATTACTTTCAATTTAGTCATATTCAAGTCTGCGCAATTACTTACAAAAAAAAAAGTTCCATCTAAATCTCTAGGTTTGGTCAGTGCTGCCAAAGTCAGAGGAGAGCTGCAGGTTGATATACTTATTCACAGATTTCATTTTTCATCTGCACCCTCCAGGTTACATTTAAAACTGAAATTGCATTCAGCAATAGCCAGTTTAAGCATTCCCTTTACCTGCGATGCAGACTCAAGTTTTCCAGTCATTTTCGAGAAGTGCAAGATTGGACTTTTGCGTTTTATTAAAGAAATGCTTTTTTTCCTTCATGATTTTCCATCGCGATAGAATATAATGGGTTTACGCATTAACCTGAAAGTTACAAAGTGTTGTACTTCGCTTTGTGAGTACACATATTTAATTCTTTTCAGAGGCTCCCAATTTTTCAATTTTAGATGGTTCATAGTAGAGTAGATATTAAGCGTACATTTTCATCCAATAGATGGTGCTGCTCTTGGCACAGTAACCTTTACAAACAGAAACTATTTTTAAGTTCTAATAAATGAAAATTACATTGCAAATACGGTGATAATTGCCCATAGACCCCCACACACGGACATAATTTAAATTTCAAAGGCTTTATGAAAGTGCTTGGGGTGGTGTGATGCATAGTTGACACATAAGACATGCAAGGGAATCTCTGGTCTCCATTGATTCTAAAACCTTATAGTCAGTTCTGGAGAGGGGAAGACAGCTTTAAAAAGTACGTGGTCATCAAACATCTGTTGAATTCACATTTCTATTGTAGATCTATTTTAACAAAGAAGGCAGGTCCTCTTAGTAATTAAATTATGTAAGTAAATATCACAGTAGCAAGGAAATAAACCAGAGAGTATTGCTTTGTATGTCTTCAAAACCACATGCCCAGAGCATGTTGCGGATCTCTTTGAAAAAAAAAAAAAGATAAAATTCACACATTATACAATTCATCTTTTTAAAATGGTCCAGTGGTTTTTAATATATTCGTGAAGTTGTGCAGCCATCACCACTAATTCCAGAATGTTTTAATGACCCCAAAAAGAAACCCCATGTTCCTTAGCAGCCATTCCCCATTCTCCATGACCCCAGCTCCTAGCAACCACTAATCTACTTTCTGTCTCTATAAATTTGCCTATCCTGGACATTTCATATAAATAGAATCATGCAACTTGTGGCCTTTTCTGTCTGTCTTTGTTCACTTGGCATAATGTTTTCAGTTTCATCCATGTTATAGTATGTATAAGTACTTCATTCCTTTTTGTGGCTGAGTAATATTCCATTATGCCAATATACTAAATATATCACATTTGCAAAGGTTTTTCTCTGTAAAGCATTATTTGTAGCCTATTTTTGGTTGTATAGTTTTCAGTTTGTTGGACATTTTCTTTAAGTCTTTGGTGATGTAAAATTTAAGTGTAAAGAATTTAATTAACTTTTAAAGACTATCACAAGCTTATGTAATGCTACTGAATGTAAGCTTGCATTGGAACTCCAAGTGAGTTTTGTTGAGACTGGAAGGTGACTACTTTTGTATTCCTCACCATTTTAACAAAGTTGGCCTTTTACACAGTTGCCAACAGGCTGACCTGGAGGCATTGGCAACATCAAGTAACATAAATATCTTGATCTTGGGGCAGCATGTTTTGAAAAAGTGAGGCACATTATCTTCAAATGAAAAAGTTAGGCTCCATTTCAATTATTTTTCACTCAGCACCTACTTCAGTGTTTGTGGATGCGTTTACCCCTCATCTTCAGTGTTCTTAGAGCCAATGAGGTAGCCTGACATATGTATTAAGTGCTCAGTAAGGGTCTGTCAACTGACTAAAACTTGCTGTACAGGAGAAGAGCTCAATACAATTTGAACATTAGGCTGTCATTCTTACCATTATCCAGGAACAAGTTGTAGAGTTCACTAAGATATTGATTATTGGCAATTAAGAATGTCTTAGTGATCAGATCAGATCATTTTGTATCTAAAATGTCCTGATGTTTTGAACTGGACATAATAGACCAACTGCTTCTTTCAAATAACTTTCCAGACAAAAAATTTATCAGAATACATGAACCAAAACAAATTTTTCTTGACCCACTGAACAGGTGTATCTTATGGGAAAAACTACAGTGGCTTTCCTGTAAGGAGGCTTAACTATGAGTCATAGAGGAGAGGTAGATATTTTAAGAGCTTTTAAGGAATAATTTCTTCCAATTAATGAAGGAATTCAGGATCTTTGAATTAAGTGAATTATAGTGCTGCAAGGTACACTAAGTTCAAATGTTTAAGTATTATTATTAAATATGTAATGAATCAGATTCTGTACTTCTCAGTCACATCTTACTGCTTTAAGAGCCACATTAACAATAAATTATACCCAACTCCTCTGGAAGAATTAACTTCTTAATTTATGCTGGTTATAGAGTCTGAAATTCAATATGTTGTGACTCTCAGTTTGATCTATTTATCCTCTGAAAACAAATTGTAACCACATATAAAAAATATTCATGCCTTTTTCCCAAATAATAACTAGCCTCTATTCAGAAAATTAATTCCTTTTCATTGCAGAGTTGCAATTTTCTTTATTTCATTTCTCTCTCCTTTTTACGTATACTGTGGTTGCTTCCAGTCAGGGAAGTTTGCCAGGAGAAATCATTTCATTGATGAATTCATTTCTACTCTCATGTCTGCACTAGAGATTCAAGATCTTGCTTAAAATTTTATGTTGTGGGAATTTTGCTTCTGGCAAAAATTCAGGTTTTTCTGGAAGCATAAGCTGCGTTTTCTCATTCCCTTTAACTCCGAAAAGATTTGAGTACTGTCTAAAGTGAGAGATTTGCTTGACCACCCATTTGCTGACCGTTCAGACTGTTGCATGGAAATGGAACCCCCTCAGTCAGGACCAGAAGATCTCAAAGGAAGGCATAATTAAGAAGATGAGCCTGTGTTTCATTTTCAGTTACCATCTGCTCAAGTGTCTACTAGGTGCAGTTTCAGCACTGAGCATTTTATGTACATTTTCTCATTTCATTCTCCTCAAAACCCTTTGATATTGGTGTTTTCATCTTACACCTTTTACAAATGAGGGAACCCGGCACAGAGAACTCAGATAAGTTGCCTAACATCACAAATCCTGATTCAGCCTGTGTATTCCTTCCCAATCCAGAGCCTGAGGCTTTTCCTCTTTTCATTCCCAGGATCAATTTGCTGTTTGGCATTCACTAGCTTGCTTTCATGTGATGTGATGGTACATTTCACAGTCCCATTTGCTTTTCTGAGGATCCCTTTCATGATTTTGCCCATGTACTCTTGTATTACTTTTTTATCCTTTTTTGAAAATTAAGGCATAATTTACATTTTTACCATCTTGAAAGTTTTCACCGATGCATATGGTCATGTAGCAATCACTGTGATCCAGATACAGAATCGTTCCAGCCATGCTACTTTAACTACTCATTCACTAGATGTTCACTAAGTGCCCGACATCTGCAAGGCACCATGCTAGGCGCTGATAATTCAGCTATGCATCAACATACAGAGACTTAAACTCATGATGCTCACAACCCAGTTAATCTGATTCAATCCCACAATGAAAACTTTCTTTAAATCTTGTTTTAAAGATACTTTTTCTGTTCACAACTAGTCGAAAATAAGTCTTTTCCAAATATCTCTTAATGTGTTGAATATGTTAACTCTCAAATACTTTAAAATGCTTCCTGCTCCATTAAGAATTCCAATGGTAAAAGTCAGAGCCAATTTAAACAAGAGAGAGATATGTGTGTATATACATATATAAATGTATATATATGCATATACATAAAAGTGTATATATATATATGTGTTTGTGTATATATATATAAAATATATACATTTAAATTGTATTTCAACTTTTAGTGTCTTATTGAGATTAATTCCTAGAAGTAACTTCAGATTACAAAAGGAAACCAATTTTTCTCTGTGTTTAAAGAAATTAAAGAAATTAAAGAAAGAAAAAATATCATATAGCACAATCTTAAAACACTTGTATTTTAGAAATGTCCTGTTTAATACCATAGCCACTAGGCAGATGTAGCTATGTAATTTAAAATTTATTAAAATAAAACAATTCAGTTCCCTAATCACACCATCCACATTTCAAGTGCTCAGTAATCTGTGTGGCTAGTGGCAATCACATGGGACAGTGCAGACATGGAACATCTCCATCTGGCAGTGTTGTTTTGGAACAACAACAAAAAACGCTGGTAAAATAATGATTGATAGAACTCATGAGGAGTCATCAACTCAACTAGAAAAATTTCTAAAGTCATTGAAATTGTTTGAAGTGTTCGTGCATGTGAGTTAGTTATGGTTTGTGTTGTGTTAGCCTGCAAACATCCTAGAAACATGATGGGGCCTTTGGTAGAGCAGTAATAGGTGAAAAGAGTTCAGTGGCCACTTTGTAGCCTTTATGGACTGAGGTTGAACAGAAGAGATTAACTGCTGGTTCGGGAGTGAGTGCTCTGCTCCCATAGTACATTTTCCATAATTTGTTCTGTTATCCACTGTATTGTTTTTCAATTTATCTGTCTCCTTGACTCGACCACATTATTTGAGGGTAAAGAATCCATTCTTACATTCATCATTCATTCATTGTTAAATTCATTCATTGAAGAATTCAATGAAAAATTCAGTCAACATTGCATTCTTGAACTTAGCACTTACAGTAGGTGCCAATAAATCTTTAATGTATAAGGTTATAGAAAGATTGTACCATGAAGCTTCTTAGAAAAAAAAATAGTTGTTTGTTGTTGAGACTGGCCAATTTTCACTGGTCTTTCCCTCTTTTGATTATGATCTCAGTCCGGGAGTAAGGTCAGCATTCACCTTGACCTGTCCATCTTTAATGTCACTTCTGGTACGCGAACTTCACTTTCACTGATTCTCCCAGAAATACACGTAAGCATATAGGCATCCTCTATGAGGTTGGAGCTGTCATGAATGTGATTAATGCCTGTACAAGCATTACATAGATCCAGACACTATCTGTGCATGGAAAATAAAGTTCCTGTGATTGATACTGAGTGTGTACTTACAGAAGCAGTCTTGAGTGAGCTTTTAATTCTAGAGGAGTTGGCACCAATGAGTTTTGGATACATCCCAGGGGGCCAGAACATCAAGTCAGCTAGTGTGCCACTTTGTATGTGTACAAGTGCATGCGCCTGTGCTGCTCTGGTGTTGGGGAGGAGAGGGCAATGAGGGATGCAGGATGGTCAGTAATGAGTAAATAAAGTATCTTGAGCCCATGAACACTGTATTTTCAGTCAGCCAAAAGCTATCATATTGGTTTAAGTCTTCTCTAGTCAAGAAGGCCGTAAGAGATAGTGACACAAAACAGTTTTGAAAACCAGGCAAATGATGGGAAGTGCAGTTTTATCATGTGGATGTACGTGCTTTTGGAGTTTGTCAATAGTTTTATCATTAATCCTAGAGAGGATGTGCTACACAAGTTTAACTCTGCACATAGCAAATATTTGAACTGAGTTGAATTCAAATGGAATGGGACATGGGATCAGTTAAAAATCTTCATAGGAGTCAAAAGCAGAAAAAAAGGAGATGATCTTTTGTTAGGATATTTGCTTTATTTTCTTCTCAACTACCTTCCTCCCTTCCTTTTTTCTTTCCCTCCTTCCTTCTATTTTTCCTTCCTTCCCCTTTCCTCCCTTCTTCCCTCCCTTCCTCCTTTTATCCTTCATTCCTTTAATCCTTCCTTCTTTTCTTTTTCTTTTTTTGTTGCTATTTCCTCTTCAGCTTCACTTTCTTTTAGCATGAGTTTAAGATAATTAAATAAACTTAAGTTTGCTCAGCACCTTGATGAAAAGTTTGATAGGGAAGAGATTAATGCTATTTGAAACCATTAGTTAAAAATATTTTTACTGTGTTAATATCATTTGGGGGTCTTTGTAGTTAACAAAATTTTTAAAGTATGAGTTGGCAGATGTTTTTGCCTAAATATTCCAGTGTGGTAAAATGGGCTGATTGTCTTTGTTTTCCCCTTCTGATATTTGCCCACAGATATTAAAGTAAACTCAGTTATTTTGGGTACTGGTTAATGTGAAGTTTTTGGCCTTATTCAATAAGTACAAGTCAATTTATGTGCATGCTAACAGGGGATAGTTTTTTTTACAAGTTTCCTTGGAAATGTAGTACTTGGGTACTTGGAAATAATTTATTCATTAGTAAGAAAGAAGGATTTTCTGTTAGAATATCCATAACTATGATGAGAATACAGATATTTTCCTGCTCTTGGAGAAACATTCTACCCTCTCTCTCTGCCTTCCCCTTTAGCACTTACTGGATAAATTTTCTACTTTTTCACTGTTACTGACTGAACTGCCTATTTCTTGAATCCTAAAGCTCTAATGTATTTACCTAAGGATGGGTCTCACTATGAGCTCTTTTCTCTGAACTGATTAACTCAGTACCTTGAGTAGGAATAAAATAAAACATTGATTTTTAAAATGACTCCTTTAAGCAGAGATCATGGTAATAAACAGAGTCTTGATTACATGCTTAGAACATGCTGGCCAGATATAAGGAAGTTTTTAGATTTTCTAATGGTTTTTATTCATATTGTCATCAGATTGAAAATTATTTCTATTATTAAATTTTTACCCACTTGCATTCTGACACATTTTCTTGAATAGGATATGTCAAGGTGGTATTGTCTCAGCTGCTACACAGAGTTGTGCAAAATCATGATCTGCCCAAAGGAGCATAAGGATACCCTTGAGGAGCATGTGGGATATTATTGTCATGTGTGTTTTAGTGCACAAAAACGCTGACAACCATTTATCTAGGTTGATAATTCTCAATCCTGGCTGCATTTTGAACTTACTTGGTGTTATGGACTGAATGTTTGTGTCCTCTCCAAAATTCATGTTGAAGCCCTAACCTGCCATTGTGATCGTATTTGGGGACAGGGCCTTTGCAGGGTAATTAGGTCATGAGGGTGAAGCTGTCATTGATGGGTTTAGTGTCTGTATAAGAAGAGAAAAAGACCAGAATCCTCTCTCTATTCACCATGTAAAGACACAGCAAGAAGGCAGCCATCTGCAATCCAGAAAGAGAGCCCTCGCCAGGAATCAAATCTGCTGGCCTTTTGATCTTAAACTTCCCAGCCTCCATATCTGTGAGAAATAAATGTCTGTTATGTTAGCCACCCAGTAAATGGTATTTTGTTATAGTAGCCCAAGCTGACTATGCACCTGGGAGACTTTTAAATCATACTGATGCCTGGGCATCAAATCAAGTACTTCATAATGTATGGGTGCTGAGCCCAGACATGGACATTTTCTTAAAACTCTCCAGGTGATTATAGAGCACAGCCTGGGACTGAAACCACAGATCTAGGCCAACTTCATGACACTACTAATCTTAGTTCATTTTTCTTAAGGTGGAGATATTTGCAGGTCTTATGCTGTCCTAAAACAAAGCTAGTGCCACAAGACAAAGGTCCTGGAAATTTTCCCTTCTCTCTCTCTTCTTAAGGCAGTTTCAGCTTCAGAGTAACCCTAGAAGGAGGAGTATGCTCTATGGTGATTGACCTCATAGTCTTTTAAAGCCAGGGAAACTTTAGGAGGCCAGGCAGTCTTGGAGTGGGTCCAAAGATTCAAGTCTATCAGCTGGTAGGAGGGTAAATGAACCAGCTTCCGAGATGGGGACTCCAAGTGACATTTATCCAGACACAAGCACATAATATCGTTCATTTCATCAATGATACATATTCTTGTTCTCTGTTATTTATTTTCTTTCTCCATGCATAATTTGTTAGAACTTGGCTTTTTGTTTACTGTTATGAAATAAATATTAAGATTTAGCTATTGCTTTTTCATTTTAGCAATTTGTGTGTTTTATGAAATTATTAATCAGGTATAGGCTATTTCTTTTTACTGTATTTGAAAAGCACCAATAACTCCATTTAAAAATTAACAATGAACTTTTCTAGGTGTTTCAAATAACTCCTTTAATATACTTATTAGTGATGATGCAAGTACAAATTAATTTAATGAATCATTTTTGAGCATCTTCCTTGGGATAAATATTCCTCCAGAGAGACTATTCTTCTCATGGCCAGCTGAACTTTTACAAGATAGAAAGATGCATACGTAAGTAGGTCTCATACATGATGGAGTTTCTGGCATATGAGACTGTGAGCTGTGTGGAGATATATTTAGTCTTAAATTCACCTCTTAGAAGGTTTCTAGTAGGAGATGGGATTGGATATAGACCATTCAGGATAAATGGATAGAGCTTCAGGGGTCACCATGGGAGCAGAAGGCATCAGAGGGATTAAGGTTGGCATGCAGAGAAACATGGACTGAAAGTGAGAACGTGGTAATTGGAGGGAGGGGACAGTGGGGAGAGGAGTATAACAGTAAAAGGTCTCAAATGGTAGGTAGGATTTACAATGGCCAATTGAAGAGTTTTGTGTTTGAAATCTACTCATTGTACAATGGGAAATTACTAAAGGGTTTTGAGCAGTGAAATGACTGGAATAGATCTCTTTATTTCAGGAAGATAACTCAGGTATCAGAGCATAGGATGGATTGAAGCCGAGGGAGACAGGGAATCAGGAAGCTTGGTTAAAAGCCTCTTACACGGTGGCAGTCACAGTGGAAATTTATAGATCATTTGGGATATAATAATATCATCCTCTTTATAGAATTCTTTAATGTTTAACAAGCACTTTCAGATACATTATCTCACTTGATATGAATGTAATTGGTATAATTGGTAGGACATTGTGCCATTCTCTGGAGTGAGTCACTGGTGATCCTTAAGGGAGTGTCTTCTCTGGGAAGGTGAAGATGTAGCATGGAACACAGGGAATCAGAGAAATATCCAGGAAGGAAAAGAGAAGGTAGCAAATACATACAAGTCCACAGAAGTTGATAACTTGGAGGGAAGAAAGAAGAGAGAGAAACAGAGGATGATCGCTTGAAACCTGATTATTTATTGAATGGTGAAACTCTTAAATTTGTTAAGACAAGGCAGTAATTGACTCTAGACATTTTCTCTGAACAGATTAACTCAGTGCCTTGAGTAGAAATAAGAGGAAATAGTGCTGCTAAAAATGATTATTTTTTTTAGAGATTAGAGTCACAACTTAACTAAAACAAGCAAACTTTTTTAAAGGAGGATTTTAGTATATTTATAGTTTCAGGTTAATCTTATCAAATGCCAATATGAAAACTACTTACTTCATTCACCTTTCAAAGCCTTGTATTTGTCATTTTTACAGTGAACACATGTACTATTGGGACATTTCAGCCAGCATTCTGCCAGTACACAGGCTTTCTTAACCACAAGTTCAGATTACTTGAAGGCCATCATATTTATGTCCATAAACTAGCATCTTTGTAAATTGCTTACAACTTGTATTTTATATAAAAATAGTGTAATGGAAAATAATGCATAGATTAGGCTTCTCAGAATTTGTTTAAAAATTGACTTTGGCAGTTTTCGTTGTTGCTGTTTTTGAGACGGAGTTTCACTCTTGTTGCCCAGGCTGGAGTGCAATGGTGCGATCTTGGCTCACTGCAACCTCCACCTCCTGGGTTCAAGTGAGTCTCCTGCCTCAGCCTCCCAAGTATCTGGGATTACAGGCATGTGCCACCATGCCCAGCTAATTTTGTATTTTTAGTAGAGATGGGGTTTCTCCATATTGGTCAGGGTGGCCTCTAACTCCCAACCTCAGGTGGTCCACCCTCCTCGGCCTCCCAAAGTGCTGGGATTACAGGTGTGAGCCACTGTGCCTGGCTAGCTTTTTCTTTAATTCATGAAAAATACATAGGATTGTTTACTCTATGTCTCTTAAGATACATTAAGATACATGAATTGGTAAATTAATCAATTACTAAGTTTAGGAAAGAGAGAAGGCAGCAGCTGTCAAGACTGAAATGTAAGCATATTTTTTCCTTATGTAATGAAAAAATATAGACAGTTGTGCTATATATGAGTTGAATGCCAAACTTTTGTCTATTTTAAAAGTATGACTGAATCGATTTTCAATAGAAGTATTTGGTTACTGTAAAGTTTCCTTTGATGGCTTTCAGGTGGGGAAATGACATGTAATGGTTTATATATATAAATACATTTATATAAGTATGTTATATGGAAACATATATGTATATGTGCATATATGCATCTATATACACACCTAAATAAGGACACATATAAATGCATATATGTAAGTGCATATATATACACAAATGCACGTGTATATTTCATATATATGCATTTTTTTTCCTGCTGCTAAAAACTGATACTGCTTTATTTTGAATGTTAAAAGATTACATCCTTTGGAAACATCATTATGTTTAATTGTAGCATATATTCTGGGTATTTTGAGCCTGACATTTTCCTGCCTCCAACATAAAGGACAGAAAGAATGCCGCTTCTTCCTGTGACCTGAATACACTGTCAGCCCTCTCCAAAGGGTTTGGGCCCAGTTAGAGCAGTGAAACTCAGTTCAGCACATGTTTGTTGAACATTTACTGTGTGCTCCACACTCTCCTTGGTCTTTTTTAATAAATTCTTTTTGTCTTTGAAGAGTTAATCTGGTTACAGATATGAATTGTACCCTGGTGGGAGCATACCAGAAAAGAGAATAATAATGTAAATGCTAGACTATTTGGATGAGATTTTAAGTCTGTGGAAATTCAGAACAAGGAAACACAAAGACATGAATTCATTTTTTTAAAAAAGTCTCTGAGCATGTGAGCAGCACTTCTTCCTTTTGAACATGGATGGACCATTTGCAGTTGCATTCAGTATTACGAGCCTCCTTTGTGTCCCTCCCCGTCATTTTTACTACATTCAAGAAACATAACAATAAATAACAATAAGCCTGTATTACTCACTTTAGGTTATTTGGTTAAGGAGAAGCTTGAATATGGAAGTTTGTTGGTTTTTGTCTCCAAAATGCATTTAGGGTTCCCCAGCATTCCACTTTATCACATTCAAAATAATTGGGTAAGTAGGAAAAGATATAAGCAAAATGTGTATGTTAAAACACTCTTCTTATATGTTCTGTTCAACACCAACCACTAGAAAAATGTCACATAATTTCCACAGTTAAGTCTATCCCAACTTGAGCCTTAATTTTTGGTGGTAGCAGCTGCTATTTTGCGACAAAGGTAAACTCTTGGTGCCAAAATTTCCAAGAATGTTTAGGATGCATATGATTTTTGGCCACTCTGGAGAATTTTGAACGTAGATGGCAATGCTGTCTGAAAAATGGATCCCTGTGAAAGAAGCATAAAGCGTGAAATCACATTTAATTAGCCAAGAGTGGCTAGTGTATGTTGCCATTAAATCCTTTAAATTACAGCACATCTGGGCACCGTCCATCCCACAAGAATGTATCCAATGATGCCTCTGTCTTACCTGTGAGTCCAGCTTATTTTCTCCTAACTTCTCATTACTTTTTAACTATTCAGTATTCTTGGCATAAGAAATCAAGAAAACACAAGATGCTTCCATGTTTCTCAATAAATTATTCAAAATGTTATACCAACCCTTCCCCACCCCCAAAATGGCAAAATGCCCATAAGAAAGTATTTCAATTCCCTATTTGGAAGGAGCTTTTCAAGACATCCTCTTTTACTTCACATTTTAAAATTAGAATTCTATAGCATCTGTCAATTTGGAGAGGGAAGAAAACACTTATAATTTTTACAAACATCACAAGAGTCTAAGTTGTATTAGACTTGATGGCATTCAGGCAAGCAAAGATCAAATATTCAGCCAAATAGTCTCTCTGCTAATGATAATGACATATAAACCCTTTTATGGTGACATGGGTTGGGTCTTCTACTGGCAGAGGAAGTGTATCTTTATGCGATGAGTTCTCACTCTTAAATACAAGGGGAGTGCTGGTTTTTAAAACATGAGGCTTTGAGACTGTAGTACACAGTTTGCTGGAGATGTGTTTGGGTGATTGCGCTACTGGGGAAAATGCACTGAAAATAGGTCATCAAGAAAAGATTGATATAGACTTTTTTGTGTGGAAGTAATTATGCTTGATTATTGCAGTCTGTTACAATTCAATATGCCAGACTATGAAGTTTCAGTGAGAAAATATTAATATGTGCACATATAATCCTACCTGGGATCTGTAGACTGGAGTTTAAATTCCTACTGATTAATCCTCACAGGTTCTTTATCTGGTATTCAGTAATAAAGAATGGAAAGTTTTTTATATATCATATATGTTCTTGTTCATTCACTTAAAAATCCCAAACACATACGTTAGTTCATCAAAAACACAGCTGAAACATTCCACTCTATTAAATGTAACACACACACACACACACACACACACACACAGCCGTAAAAATAACAACAAACCCATCTACTATCAGAGTAGGAAATCTTCACCAGCCTACTTTCTTGCCAAGATATATACTGTTCAATAAACACTTTATAATTATTACTTATTTGACATAAATTATTGCCTAAGGCCAATGTTAAGAGACTTTTTGCAAGTTTATAGCAATGACTGTTGAAATGATTTAAGGAATCGGATTCTTAGGACTTTCCTTTTACATAATGTATTTCTGTAATTCTCAGAAGGCAATTCTACAACTGACTTTAATAACAAAACACAATACAGGTATGCCAGGGTCCCCATCCATGGAAACCTTTGAGAAAATAATGAACAAAATTTTATGTTTTTTCTACTCATCAGGGGAAAGGACCTATAGGTTCTTTTGAGTTTTGATGTCATGTGATACTCTTACCAGGGCATGCAAAGTGCTTCAAAACCTGAACTCAAGCTACCTGTCCAGCTTTACTTGAATCTCCACACGTGTGCTCCTTCCCTTTGGCTCAATCTTTTCCTCGTCTTGGGGTGGATTTGGGCCCCATGCATTCCTGTTGTCTTTTACTTTGTCTGTGCTAACACATCATTGTCCCCTTCCACAGGAAGGGAAACATCATCTCACCCATGATGGCACAGCACTCACATTGCGTGTCTGTTGTTTCCATGACTGTATCTTCAAGGAGTCTGGTCTCCTCATGGGATATAGCCACTGGGCTCTAAAGACTTCTTGCTCATATAGTAGGTGCTCAGTAAATATTTGTGGCATAAATGAGTGAGTGAAATTACTTCAAAAGTGATCACTTGAAAAATAGAAAATACAATCATTTCTGCCTAATCAAATGTTAAACGTTGCTACCACCTCAACTAATTCTGTACCCCCATTTGGCAGAGTAAGCAACTCGAGATCACATTTGCAGCATTTGGAATTAGAATTCAGTTCACCCTCAAATTCACTCAATCTCTCTTAATTTTTTTATTTTAAAAAAAGGTAAACAGAAAGTAGGTCAATCAAATCACATTCTCATTTTAACAGGTCCAAGAGTCTATATAGATTTTGAACTGAATTGGCACACAATCATGGACAACTTCCTAAGGGCTTTTACTCATGGCATTCAGAGTTTTAAGAAAGAAAATTAAGTGATTGGAATAGAGTACAATAGTGAATGCAGAAAAAGGGAAGAAAGATGACTGTAGCCAGAAACACGAGAGAAAGAGAACTATAAGTTTCTTTATTCTAAGTAGCGGTGGGAGAATCTACTTTTTGGCCTGCACAGCGGATGCACCATTTCTATGGGTAAGTTTTCCCTGTGTTTCCTGTCAAGCCGGGGTTTTAATGAAACAAAAAGATACCGGATCCCTCTCGCTAACACCTCTTCATCCCCCCAACACCCCAGCTAGTGCCAGCCAAGAGCATTTCTCTCAGTTCCTTTTATCCCTTTCTACCAAGAACAAGATCTGAGATATGTGAGATCCTGTTTGATTCAAGCTTGGAGAAAGCACTGTATATTTTACAGCCATTGGTTACCTGTTGCTGTCAATAGCTGTATTGTCAGCATTTTATCATGGATTGAATGCTTTAAAATTTTTGAGCAGCATAAAAGATTTGTAGAGGAAAACCTATTTTCCTTAGAAACGAGAGACAGTGTTTTTTGATGCTTCAAAGTCTTAAAAAATGTAGGAATATTAGAGTTATGCCTTGCCCTGCTTGGTGGGTTTTGAGTGACATTCTGAGACCATACATTTTGTGTCAAGAATCGAATCAATTTCTCTTCTTTGGGCTGCTGACATTGTTTAGAGTATAGATGAAGACTCCCCAGTAAGACATGTAAAACAGTAAGGGACTGTGAAAAAAATAGATTGTGAAAAATAAAAGTCTATCAAGATGGGGCAAACGTTTAGGGGAATACTATCAAAGGTAGTGTTATGTTCAATAAAAGATGGCTGAAATACTTATGAGACTAATAGACAAATGGAAATTATTTACACAAACTTCTGTAACTGCCCAGTTCTGTGAAAAACAATAGGAAAATCGAATTCAGAAAACACTTATCCCTGTCAGAATTAGAATTAGGATAATGGATCCACCAAAATATGTGATTGCTTACACTGAAAGAATAGCCATTATTTTTAACTTAGGGTGAATTTGACTAATATTGAATAATAGGTGATTTAAGAAATTATTTTGAAATGTTTGTTTTAATATGCCAGGACAAAATGTAATTGTTATAATTTAAGAAATACATAATTAAGAGAAAACAACACATCTGAGGAAAGTAATTACAGTGCTCAGATGTTAATTAAGAGACACTAAAAAACAGACTACTTGTTGAAATAGTGATGTTTGATAGAATATTAGCTATGTTATTAAAAGCTTAAAATCCATTATTTTATTACATAATAGCTAAAAGCAGCAATATTTGGTCTAATGAAGAATTGGCAAATAGCTATAAGGAATGATTAAGGCTTCTGCAGGACTTAATTTGGATAAATCAGGTTTTAAAACACAATTATATAGGGAATGAATTAAATTATTGAAGTTTTAAAATTATGAGCACAGAAAGGAATTATATAGGTTTAAAATTAATTTTTAAGAATGAATACTTTCATCCCACTTTCAAAAGGCTTTATTTTTTAAAAAAAGTATTTAAAATGAGGCCTGAGTCAAACATTTCAGTATGAGAAGCCTTGCACAAAATTTAGCTATTGTAGTTATGGTCCTTTGGAGACGGTATTAGTCATAAAACTATGTATGGTCTTTGTATTAGGATAAATTTACTTTGGCTTCTGAAGTTTTTGATAAGGATATATCTTCTGTGCAAAAGCAGAAAGGGCTGTAAAATACTAGAGAATGTAGACAAAGGTACCATAAATTACTTTGGAAGGACTTCTTGCCATCCTGAAGCAAGGTTTTGTGTGAATGTTTACAGCTGACTGTCACATCTTTAGTTACAAAATTCAATTTTGTTGCATTATATCCATTCATAATTGAAACATTGGTGTTTTATTTCAAATTACTAGCTTAGCATATGATAAGTTAATCAGCAAATGTGGTTAAAATAATAGGTGTTTCTTAACATGCTATTATTTCTACCATTAGAGAAAAATAAAACAAAACCAAAAACTCCTCTCTTGACTTCTTCCACATTTCTCCCCTTCCATTGCCTGCTAAACTTTTGGGAAGAGTTTTCTATAGTCACTATCTATTTTCTCTCCTGTCCTTTGCTCCTGAACTCAGTTTAAAAAGGGTTCTGCTCCCACCATTCCAAAACAAAAAAAAATACCTTATCAGTCTCACCAGTGCCTTTGACGTTGGTACATCCAATATTCAGTGTTCTTGGTCCTCACTTTATGGACCTACCAAGAGCTTTCAATTGTTATCATTGTGTCATTCTGGAGATGCTTTGTTCACCTGACTTCCGGGATGCCATACTTGTCTGGCTTTCCTGCCATCTCACTAGCCACATACATTGTACTCCACTGTCTTCCTCAATCTCTTTTTCTAGTTCCTTCTCATCCCCCCAACTTCTAAACATTGTAGTCCTGAGAGTTCTTCCTTGGGCTACTTCTGTTTTGCATCTACACTATTTGCATGACTATCTCATCCCTGTATTCTCTACATTGATAACTCCCAAATTTGTCTTTCTAGACCAGAAGTTGTACCTGAACCCCAGTGTCATATATTCAACTATCCATTTAGATATGTAACACAGTTCTCAAACTTGACATGTTCAAACTTGATCTCCTGATCTTCCTCCCATCCCAACTCCTACTTCCACTGTCTTCTTTATCCCAATAAATAACAACTGCACTCAGTTGTTTAGGACAAAAACCTTGGAGCCACTTTTAATTCTTCCATCTCTCTTACAGCCTACACATAATCTTCCATTGCAAATGTCAGTATTGCTCCTGGGTTACATTTTTTCATGATCTCCATCCACTGCTACCACCTATCCACACTTGCATCATGTCTTCTTGGGTTATTTCACTGGCTTCCCAGCTGGTCTCCCTACTTCACCATACAAATCAGCCAGGGTGATTTTGTTCAAATGTAAGTCAGATTATGTCACTCTCCAATTTCTTGTTTAACTCAGAATAAAAGCCAAAATCTCTACTCATGAAGTGTCCATCAAGCCCCAAATGCTCTGGCCTCCTATTATTTCTCTTTTTATTTTTTTAAAAAATTACTTTATTATTATTTAGAGACAGGTCTCCCTCTGTCACCCAGGCTGGAGTGCAGTGGTATGATCAGAGCTCACTGTAGCCCTGACCTTCTAAGCTGAAGCAATCCTCCTACCTCGGCCTCCTGAGTAACTGGGACTACAGGCATGTGCTACCATGCCTGGCTATTTTTTTTTTCTTCAAATTTATTGTAGAGACGGAATTTATCTATGTTGTCTGGGCTAGTCTTGACTTCCTGGACTCAAGTGAACCTCCTGCCTCAGCCTCCCAAAGTTTTGGGATTAAAAACTTGAGCCACCATGCTTAGCTCTCCTGTTACTTCTTCAGTGACCTCCCACTCCACTCTCCCCTCACTCCCCTCTTCTGGCCTCACTGTCCTCCTAGCCTTTCTGGATCACCAAGGCACATTCTTTTCAACGCCTTTGTTGTTGCTGTTCTCTCCATTTGGAATGCCTTTCTTTTATAATTATTTATGATCCACTTCCTCACTTCCTTTGGTTTTTGTTCAATGATACTTTTTCATTTGAGGACTTCCCTGGACACACTGCAGTGATATTGCAACCACCTCTCTTCTCAAATGTCCTCTGTCTTCCCCTCTTTATTTTTCTCCTTAGTTCTTATCACTCATGCATTTTTCTAAATTATTTTATTCTCTATCTCTTCCCATTGGAATGTAAGCCCCTTGAAGGTTTTTGTGTTTGTTCACCATGGAGCCCCAGACCCTAGCATAATGCCTGGTATATGATAGGTGCTTAGTAAATATTTGTTGAATAAAACAACCTCTTTTTTTTTTTTTTTTTTTTTTTTTTTTTTAGTTTGATTTTGCTTGAATCCTATTTTGGCTGATATCACTGCTTCTTTTTTTAGCTTGTATTGCCATATATAACTTGCATTGTCATTTTATTTTTGACATTTTATGCAACTTTTTATTAATGTTAAATGAACCTTGCAAACATCATATAATCACATTTTTTGACCTTGTCTGAAATCTTAGTTTACTTTTTCAACATTCTTTCTTCATCTTGTTTGATTTTTCATATTTATCCATACTAATTGTGTTACATACTCTCCAGTTTTTGCTTTCTGCACTGTCTGGTCTTTGCATTTATCGTTTCTAGGTCACATTTTTAATTATTCTAGACATTAACTAGTAAAATGCCTTAAGTTTTTTTTCTGTCATTGTCAAAAGTGAAGCTGTTTTCTGAGTCCTGCACTACAGCAGAGAAGAAATGCATTACCACCCACCACCAGCAGCTTTCTTCCAGCTCCCTCTAACTTCTCTGTCACTGTCATTTAGTAATGTAAATACAAATTTGTTATTTTAAATAAAGAATGTTCTTAAGTTTTTTTGTTTTTTACATTTTCTTTGGATAGTCATACAGCAGCCAGCCTAACAAAAATTATTTGTATTTTTTATGTCTTAGCGCTTATAGTTTGTTGCTTTATACCATAATTTTAGCATTTGGGGTTGGGCTGTTCCTTGAAGCAATTGTTTGAAGTGTTGTTAGATAACTTGTTTTCTGTGTAAGACATATATGTTATGTCTTTTTTCTCTTCACATGTGCAAGACAACCTGGATGCAAATAAAATTATTTGGTTACAACGTTTTTTCTTACAAAACATATGGTCCCTGCTTTTTTATGTTATGGCATTTAGTGTTACTGAGAAAAGAACGGAAAGTTCCACCTCAAGGTCACTTCTTTTATGCCAGATTTGGCATATTTGATGGCTGCAAGAGGAGGTGGGGTGGTGGGATAGGAAATCTTCAAAACTTAGTACCTGCCTGGTAAAAGGAAGAGACACAGAACTCTGACTAGTTGAGGTATTAGACCATAAGAGTATTTTAATTTTCTCTCCATCAACAAAATAATTAAATATATTAAAATTTATGTATTTGAATCTTTAATATTTAACAAGATTATTCACAAGTATTAAATTTGGCTTTTCAGTTTCACCATTTAAAGGGCAAAATCATTCTGCCTGATATATCTTAGAGTTCTTCAAGCATCTCATATATATATATATATATATATATATATATATATATATATATATGTAATGTTTATATAAATGTCTTGCAGTGACTCTTAAGAAAATAATCAGTTCTCCATAATAAGGCAGTTAGGATTTACCTGAAAATAAAGATAATATATCAAGACTTAGCAATATGCTAGCTTTTCAACCAAATATATCATTTTCTGCATGGTAGTGGGTATCTTTGTTTTTTTGAAAAATATTTTTGTGATTAGAAAATTATACACAATCATTGCAAATATTCAGAAATAACAAAATATATAAAATAAAATTTATCCACAATTCCATCAGAGATACAAATTTTTAACATTTTATTTAACTTCTTTCCTGGCATTTTTCTACATGCACATATATACACACAGAGAGGCAGGAAGGAGGGAGGGGGAGAGAGAGGAAGAGAGAGGTGTACATTTTTAACAATGATTGCCCTATACAAATGGCTTGGTGATCTGCCTTTTGAATCTAAAATATACTGAAACTTTGTCATGTCGTTAAACATCATTTTTAGTCACTGTATCAGTTAGAATATAGTTTGATTGCATGCCCAAAAAAACCCCAAATGGCTGTGTGGTTCAAACAAGAATAGATTTGTTTCTCTTTTCTTTTCCTTGTCAGTCCAGACTGGTGGACCTCTCTTTTACAAAGTCAGTCAAGATGGTTTGCACCGTGGTGTCGACATCCAATGTTCTTTTATCTTGCTCCACTGTCTTGGAAGTATTACTCTCTTCCATATTTCCTGGTTAGTTCACAATCCTGTCAGTATTCTGTCAAATGAAATGGAGAAATGGAGAAATGGCAAAGCCTGTGTATTCCCTTTACAGATACAATGCAGAAATTGCACTCTTCAGTTTGCCAGAACTTAGCCGCAAGTCCACAAAGAAGACTGGAAAATTTAGCATTTATTCTGGATGGCCAGGTGCTCAGGTAAACAATTTGTGACTGTAGAAAAAGGGGGAAATGGTTATTGGGGAGCAATTGGCAATCACTGTCAAACTAGTATTTCATTAAAATATGTTTTGACAGGTTTTTTTCTGTTATTCACCATGCATTCATGAATATTCTTACATTTGGTTCCCCTGTAACAACTTCTTAATGATAGCCAAGATTTCCTAAATATTTATAGGGTTCCAGATAGTATTTTAATTATCTTGTATGTATTTTTTCAACTGAATATAATGATATTATTAGGTAGCTACACTTCTTTATCCTCCTTCAGGGATATGACTGAGGAAGTCTAGACTTATAATAGGTTAAATGAGAAAGTGTTGAACAACCCGATCGTGTGCACAGGGCTAGTAAATGGTTGATTGACATGAGACTCAGATCTATGTCTGAATTCCAAGTCCTTAACTCCTACTATCTAATCATTTTTTAGAAAAAATTTTTCGAAGGATAAGTTCTGCCACAAAGTTAGGCATATTTCTAAGACTGTTGATTCACATTGTCAAACTGCACTCTGAAAAGCAGGTGCCAGTTGGTGCTCCTGTCAGCAGTATACGGAAGGACCCCTTTGCCAAAACCCTTCCCAGCATTAAATGCTTAACATACCAAAAGAACAGAAACACCACTCTAATACACCACTAACTAATACATTAGTTGACATTTATTTGATGAATAATATGGTTGAACATTTACATTGGTATTTATTATTGTTTCCATTTCTTTTGTGAACTGCTTTTTGTACAAATCTTTTGTTTAAATTGTGCTTTTTTTTATTATTTGAGAAGGGATCTGCCTCTGTCACTCAGGCTGGAGTGCAGTGGCATAATCTTGGCTCACCACAACCTCCACCTCCCGGGCTCAAGTGATCCTCCCACCTCAGCCTCCTGTTTAGCTGGGACTACAGGCACGCACTTCCATGCCCGGCTAATTTTTGTATTTTTTGTAGAGACACGATTTTGCTATGTTGCGTAGGCTCACCTCAAACTCCTGAGATCAAGCAATCTGCCCACTTGGGCCTCCCAAAATGTTGGCATTGCAGGTGTGAGCCACCACACCTGGTCCTAAATTGCCTTTTATCCCATTCAATCATTGCTCTTTTGCTTATAGATTATTAGAATTCTTTGTCTTAAGGATATGTAGTTTGGATTCCCCCTGACATTTCCTTGGATTTTGATAGACTTTATTGGATTTGGGGGAAGGTGTATTATGTTCATTGTCTTTGTCATATATAATTTTTTAGATAATTTTGGGATTTATAACTATGGAAGTGGATAGATTTTAAAAGTGAAAGATACGCTAAATGTCATCATAGTTAGTTCTTACTTGAGAGTATCACCTTAATTTTAAAAATGATAATCCCTCTCTTAGAAGAGAAGACAGAAGGAAAATGTGTCCTCTGAAGGCTTTTATTTGCATAAATTGTTTATATCTTTTGATCAACAATCTTTAGCTATTTTGATATCCAAATGCTTTAAAAGGGTATATTATTTCTTTCTCTTCTAAAACAGAGGATGTGCCCCTGGTTTTTGGAGCCCATAAAAATAGGCATTGGCCTGAAAGTCTGGCTGTGACCCTAATGAGAAAAATAGCTATGACCTGTCTCTCCTGTCTGTTCTCTTCTAGTACTGTTTCCCCTACCCTCTTTAAGTCTTGCAGGTGTAGGATAATCATACTTATTTCTCTTTTTTGGGAGCTAGATTATTGAATTGTAGGCTTTTAAGAAATAAGGGGACTTCCAGGAAGTTGATAGTGTTGGGTAGAATTGATCTCATAAGCTAATTAGAATTTTTGCAGCCCATTTGCAACAAAAATAGCAATGCCCTTTTTCTTAGATTTTTATTAAGAGAGATGTAAAATAATATTTTAAAGGAAATGTGAACTACAGGAGAAAGTAAAGATTTTGTTTATTACAAGTTGTAAAGGCTTAGTTTATAAATTATTTTATTGTAAACATTGCTACAATTTTATGAATCTTCTAGTGTTACACACTAGAAATAAAGATCTCTCATTCGTAAAGGATCATATGAGAGTCTTCAAGACGACTCAGATTGGCCTTATGAGGAAAGGATATAAAAGGCGTTGGCAGCCTACAGTCTGTACACTAAACCGGTTAGGAAAATAATTGTCAGTGAAATGCAAAAGACCAGATCCTTCAGATATTAGGCAGTTCTCAAAGAAATAAAAGTTTGGCTTAGCATCTTCCCTCTTCCTTGATGTATTCTTCTCCTATCCTCCCCAGATACATATTATTTCGTTGCACTTGGAAGGTTAGAATCCCCCTTTCTGCCCCTTGTCTGGGTCCTCCTTCTCGCCAAGTGTTACCAGGCTCCCTAGTCATTCTGCCTATTTTCCCAATCAAATATCCATTTCTATGAGTATTCATTTATAGATATATTCACTGATTATCTGATCAACGTAATTTATGCTGGACTTTGAATTTCCAACCTTCATAAGGACATATGTACATTTTTAAAAAGGAACACATTAACAGCAATGATTCTGTAATTGATATAGAGTAGATGTTTTAAAATTTTATTGTGATAAAAACACATAACTTGAAATCTACCTTCTTAAATTTTTAAGTGTACAGTATAGAATTGTTAATTATATGCACGTTGTACAGGATCTAACTAGAATGTCTTAATCTTGTATAACTGAAACTCTATATCCATTGAACAACTTCTCATTTTTCCCTCTCCACCAGCCTTGGAAGCTACCATTCTATTTTCTGTGTCTAAGAGTTTGCCTACTTTAGATACTACAGCATTATTCACAATAGCTGAGAGATGGAAACAACCTAAATGTCCATTAATGGATGAATGGACACAGAAAATTTGGTATATGTATCAATAAAATATTAATCACCCTTGAAAAACGGAAGAAAACCCGTCATATGCTACAACATAGATGAACCTTAAGAACAGTATGCCCATCCTGGCTAACATGGTGAAACCCCGCCTCTACTAAAAATACAAAAAATTAGCCGGGTGTGGTGGTGGGTGCCTGTAGTCCCAACTACTGGGGAGGCTGAGGCAGGAGAATGGCGTGAACCCAGGAGGCGGAGCTTGCAATGAGCCAAGATCGCGCCACTGCACTCTAGCCTGGGTGACAGGGTGAGACTCTGCCTCAAATAAAAAAAAAAAAAGAAACAAGAACATTATGCTAAGTAAAATAAGCCAGTCACAGAAAAATAAATACTGTATGATTCCACTTGTATAGATTAGATGTTTTTGAGGGCTTGGGGTGAGATATTTCTGGGGTGAGATATTTTTCATTGCTCCGTGCTTATGGCTTTAATCTATTTTTCCCTCAATTGGCAATTTGCCTTAATCTCTAAATTGTCAGTGGGTGTATTTGATAATGAACATTTCTTGTACAAAGAAAGAGACTAGCTTGGTTTGTATTGTCCTTATTAATAATAACCATTTCTCAAGACAATCATAGTACCAGACACTTTGTATTTGTGTTCTCATATAATCTTTATAATGCAATGATAGACACTATTGTTGTTTTTCTTGTTATTATTGGTCTTTTAGCTTCCTTAAAGTCATAAGTGGAAGGTAACAGAACTTGGACTTGAACCCAGGTCTACTGATTTCAAAGCCTCTGCTTTTAACCTCATACCCTTCAGTGATAACGGGCTTTACTCATAATAATGGTGGAGATACAGTTTGAAATAGGTTTGACATAGATTTAGCGTACACATTCCTAAGAACTAGTCTCTATGGAAAAAAAAATGTAACATGACTTCTTCAAAGCCAGAATCTCAAGTTTTTTACATTGATACTGTGGGTTCGAGGCTTTCTGCTGCCATGGTGCTTTCAGAGTATGGACATTTGTTCTTGTTTTTCTACCTTGTTTTATACATTCCTCTATCCCCACAGCCCAGCAATGCACGATGCTATCTGGTTGGTTAGTCTGCACTCTCTGTCACTGCCCATCTTAATATACATATTTCACCAAAATCCCTCCTTCTGCTAGCTAGAAGATCTTGTTCACTTTCTCCACTAAGAGGGAAACCTGACCCGTGGTCTTCCTGCCAATCTCACAGCATTACTCTACCCAAAACTATGCACAGCAGCTTTCTCTCCCTCCTTTCCAAGGTTGCATGTAGTGAATATATTTACGGCTCCATGGGCAGAGTGAGTGATCAAGAAACACTAAGTGATTGTGGTGGCCAGAAATGCAGAGGACATCATGGTATATATAAGGCAAAATTATCCATTGATGACTTATTACTTATTTGGCCATTCAACTAGAGTTTTTAAGCACTGATTCTTTTCCCTAAAACCTTATTATATCATAATGGATCCGTTAGATAATCTAGTTTAAATTAAAAGAAGGAAAAAAGAACTTTGCCCTCAGGAAGGAGGAAAATAACATCCTACCAAATGTAGAATGTACCACTTCGGTGGTACATTTAAATACTACAGTAGCAGAAAATGATACCTGATAATGTATATAGAGAGCTATCAGTCCTCTCGGTGCAAAAACAAAACAGTAAACCATGTAAGTACTTAGAGACATTCAGGAATATGTGCAGCTCTCATAAGTTTCATCCTACTCACTGAATTCACTTCAGAGAAGATTTCTTTTAATTGTAGAATAATGTGATGGGTTTTTTTTTTCATGTTCTATGAATGATTCTATGCTGTGGAACAGCCTTCAATGGAGAAATTCAGAAGAAGCAGGATGTGATGTTTTCACAATCCAAAAATGCTGTTGTTGCATACACTCCAGAAAGCGGCTCTGCTGTTAAAGGAATTTCTTGGAAATCTTTTATCTGCTGTTTTGAATAGCTGTAATATAAATGTAATAGATATTGTCTCCATTGTATTCAAATTGTATTTTCTAGAGAATGAGAAGATGGAGTCTGATGTCAGCCTTCATTTTTTTTAATATACTGTTTTTCTTCCCTGCCAGAATAATGCCAACTTCATGTATGTTGTCTACACTTCCTTCACGTAGATGAGGGAATTATCTTGAATATGTTTCTTTTGAGGAAATTGAGAAGTCTGCTCAGGGAGTACTACTGAATGCTTTGCTTGCTAACCTATACATCAGAACAAGGTGGTATATCTGCTGCTCTAAGAATAAGTACATTTTGCTACAAAGAGAAGTATTTCATATACTTACTTAAAATCTACCAAAAAGTTCAGGGAAGCTCTTAGTAAGTAGCTGAGGTTACTTAGCTTCAGGGGAAAAAAGCTAGAACAGAGTGTGTGTTCAAGAAGTAAAATAGGGCATGGAATCACTAATGGTGGCAGTGCATGAGGAATTGATATGAGATGAGACTACAGAAATAACTCAGCAAGTCCAGTGTAAACTTTTATTTATTCATATATAAAGCCTGATATTATTGCTGTAATTTAAAGTATATTGCTATAATTTAGATAAAATTTTTCCATCACTGCTTTCTTTTCCATCTCTCAGCTGGTCTTATTATTCAAGTCCCAGGACAGTAAACATTTTGTAGTTTCAAAAGCCCTTCAGTACTAATGGATTTTTTTTTAAAACTAGTTGTTTTAAATGAAACTGTAATTATGAGAACATATCTCTCTTTTCTTCCTTTTGGCAAATTCCACTAGGCATTAAAGCTTATTACCCAGTTCAAATCGATTATATTTATTTTCATTCATGACTCACAACGTTTCTACCTTCTAATACTTGCAAGTATATTCATATGTGATTTCAAGATCTCTCAAGTACATTTTCTGTATCTTTCCTGCTTTGTCATATTTGTAATATTTTATATGTAACATAAAATATATGGAAGATAAATTCTGCTAACTATAAAAGTTCATATTTTTTTAAGTTATCAGAAGTTTTGTTCTATATATCTTTGAAGTTACTGAAAGCTCAGATTTCATTTGAACAGAATGGTATTGTAGGGACATTATCTAGTTTCTTTCAGGCTATCTCTCTCCTGAGAAAGCTTGAGTCCTGGAGCTCTTTGGAATTACAGCTGAGCACAGAGAAGATGGGAACTTGGGACAGGTGAATACCCATGCCCTAGACCTGGGGAAAGGACCAGATCTGATTGGAAGACCCTATAGCTCTGTGCAAGTCAGACTGGGGCTATGGAGCAGCCTTCAACTGGAGGTTGACAGATCCCTTGAGAGAGTATTACATGGTGTTCACGTATTCAGAGTTCCTTTTATGGACTATTGGAGACCAAGCTTGAGGCCTTGGACAAGAGAGAGTTTTTAAAGTACAGGGAAACTCTAGCAATAGTATTTATGCTTAGGAACTAGTTCTCTAATAGCAGTGACCACTGTTTCCAGTGGCTAAACCTAGGGGCCTGCAAAGCTATTGGAATGGACACAGATCAGTTTTCTGAAGAAAATTCTGGCCCAGTCAATAGATACTCTCATGGCTGAAGCCTGAGCAGATGTGAGAGGGTCAATTACTGAGACAGAACAGGGCACGAGAATAGGTATTGAAACCTGAGAGACAGGTTGAGAGCCTGTATTTGGATTTCAGAGTGCAGAGGTCAAGTTTGGGAGCTGGAAGAAGGAAGAAACATGACCAGGGAGAAGGTAAGCAGAAGGGGTGAACTGAAACTAGATGCTGAAGACACAAGGTCATAAACGTGAACAAGGATCAAAGCCCTGGCAACTCAAGAAAACTGCTCAACCCAGGAGAGGCCGCTCACCCTTTACAACAGAATACAAACTTTGCCTTGTCTCTGATACCTTTCTGTCTGTCCCAGGAAGGTCACTCCTTTTGTGAAATCACGCTGTTTTGATGTGCCTCTTCTATTTATTGGATTGGATCCCATTGATGGTTTAGAACCCATTCTATGGTAATTGTTTATACATTTCTCTTCCCATTCTACTCCATGAAGTCCTCAGCACCAGAGACTAACTTACCACATGATATGTAAATGATGTACAATTGGCAAAGAGATCTTGAGAGTCTCTGTATCTGTTTGTAGGGGGAACCCACCAACAAACAGCTTTGATATAGTGGTTCATCTCTAGGATATAGATAAGGGTAAGTCATGCTGCCCAATTTATTCAGACGCCTCTTCCTGCCTGGCTCTAAATCTTTGCAGTAGGAGAATGACATAGG